>NC_000011.10:32635757-32787272 GCF_000001405.40 Homo sapiens
ACTTAATATGAGTTTCTTTAAGGGATGATAATTCATTTTTAATCTTATTAATTTCTCCATTAAGTTCTTCAGCCTATTATAAAAAAGGAACCAGAATAAACAAGTATATCAAGTATATAAATATGTTTTGTCTGAAAATATTTCATTAACAAAAGTTTCAGGAAATAGTCAAAGAATCAAAACAATCACAAAGTCATTACTAATATTAAGAGCTACCATTTATTGAATTGGGCTGACTACTTAATAAGCATAACTGCATACTCAGCAAAACCCTATGAGGTATTATTATGCCCAATTTACAGGTAAGAAATACGAGGCTCACAGAAGTTAAGTAACTTGTCCCAGATCAAGTAGATACAAAATGGCAGTGAGGATTTAATTCCAAAGCTAAATCTGAGGACCGTGTCCTTAATGACAATATTAAACTACCTCTTGTCTCATAAAAAAATTTATTTAAATTCATAAAAAACAAAAAATTAAATTCATAAATAAGAATTTATGAATTTTATATTCTACAAACATTATACTTCCATTGTTTTCTTAAAGTTTAATTTTCTTGTTACAAATTGCACATACAGATTTGAATTCCACTAGATGAGTACTAAGCACTAAGTGGTACCACAGAAACTGACATGTCAGCCGTATATTTATATCCATAAATTAGACTTTCACTCCCTATAAAATTTCATAAACTTGATTTTGGGGAAAGGAGTACTCTCACAGAAGCCTCAAATATGAGCCAAGGTAAGTTCCACTGAGGCGAAAAATATCCTTTTGTCATGGAAAAGTATATTTGTGGTTTTATAAAAGTTTAAAAGTTTCTTATAAAAGTTTCTCTTGAACAATTTTAAAACTCCTACCACAAATTCCACTAGTGCTTGTAATATTCCTTATTATAAATACTATAATTACTATTCCTAATATTTTTATAATTAATATTCCTCTATAAAGCCCTATATAGAGGCCAGTAGGTGTAAACTCATGTTACTTTCTGTTCATTTCATCTATTTTTAATCATCTTTAAATCTATCTCTGCAAGGTATTTCTTTTCCAAGGCTAAACTCTCCATGTGTTCTTCATTCCTTCCTCTCCTATCTTCCTAAGTCCTAATTCTAGGAATTTTCTCTTTTCTTCTTCCTATTCTCAATCTCTCACACTACACCAGCATCTTCTCGTCAGCCTACAAATATGCTTTACACACATTCCTAATATTTTTCCTCCTTGACCCAGTTCCTCTGTCTGTTTCACTTTTTCTTTTTCTTTTTTTTTTTTTTTTTTTTGAGAAGGAGTCTCACTCTGTTGCCCAGGCTGGAGTGCAGTGGCGTGATCTTGGCTCACTGCAACCTCCGCCTCCTGGATTCAAGCGAGTCTTCTGCCTCAGCCTCCCGAACAGCTGGGCTTACAGGCTTGCACCACCACGCCCAGCTAATTTTTGTGTTTTTAGAGAGTTTCACTATGTTGGCCAGGCTGGTCTCGAACCCCTGACCTTGTGATCCGCCCACCTCGGCCTCCCAAAGTGCTGGGATTACAGGCATGAGTCACTGAGCCTGGCCCTGTCTTTCTCATTTCTTAAAGTCTATACTTGCTACTTTCAAATTCTAACCTCCCATCACTCCTTAATACCCTGACTTCTGCCCTCATTGTTCTACTGTTTTCTCAAATATCACCTGCAAATTAGCAAAAGGATTTTTTCCAAGTCTCACATCATTTAATAGCTCTGTAGCATTTGACCATGTTGACTACTCTGTTCTTGAAACAGCTTCCTTTCTTGACTTCCATGCTAGTACTCTCTCTTTATCCTCCTACCTGTCTTACCAGCTCCCTCTCCCCTCCTGCCCCCAAACACACACACACACATACACATACACACACCCCTCTCCTCTCTCTCTCTTACACACACACACACCCCACTCACAAAATATTGGCTTTTCCCAAGGTTCTTTCTTCTTTTTTCTTGCTTCCTGGGATAAGAAACCCAAGGTTCTTTCTTCTTAAGCACTCTTCCTTCAAGTGTTCCACTCTTTCCACATTATTTCACCTATAACTTCAAATTTCACCTTTATGCTAATAAATCTTAAATCTATATCTCCTCCCCAACCTCTCTCCTAGGAGTAGATTAACATCTCCAAATGGATAGTATGCACTTCAAGCTAGATGTCCTAAAAGCACCATAAATTCTACAGTTCTCAAATTAAACTCATTATTTTCATCCACAAAATCTGCTTCTCCTTTCACATTCCTTAAGCTAGTTAATGATATTATCATTCTATGAGTTATACCAACCTGAGACTATTTGATGTCTTTTCCCCTCCCAATATCCATTATATATAAAATGTCACTAACCATACCAAGTCTACTTCCAAAATTCATCCTGCATCTATCCCTCTTCATTGTGGTACTGTCCTAATTCACAGACTCATAGGTTCATGATTAGATTATTACAACATTCTTCTTATTGATTTCTTTCCATACAGCCATCCTCCATACTGTTGCAAGAATTATTTTTCTAAAACACAATCTGCCTGTGTCACTTATTTGTTTTAAACCCTTCAATGGCTTCCCATTACTTAAATTCTAATCTCCTAGTAAGGAAGTCTTCAAAAGCTGATCTCAACCTATATTCCAATGTCACATTTCACACATCCCATTTTTAAATCAGAGCAGACTATTCATGGTCCTTGAAAATGGACTTTCATGCCTCCATGATTGTTCTATTTCTTTTATTTTTTATTTTTATTTTTTGAGACAGAGTCTTGTTCTCTCGCCAGGCTGGAGCACAGTGGCGATCTTGGCTCACTGCAACCTCTGACTCCCAGGTTCAAGCAATTCTCCTGCCTCAGCCTCCCGAGTAGCTGGAATTACAGGCATGTGCCACCATGCCTGGCTAATTTTTGTATTGTTAGTAGAGACGGGGTTTCACCGTGTTGGCCAGGATGGTCTTGATCTCCTGACCTCGTGATCCGCCCACCTCAGCCTCCCAAAGTGCTGGTATTACAGGCATGAGCCACCGTGCCCAGCCGATTGTTCTATTGTTTTTTAAATGAAATGCCAACAGGATGGAATGGGAAGGGTGGAGATGGGAACCTTATGCTTAAACCTCATTTCATCAGCCAGGCACAGTGGCTCACGCCTGTAATCCTAGCACCTTGATAGGCCAAGGCAGGTGGGTTGCCTGAGCTCAGGAGTTCGAGACCAGCCTGGGCAACACAGTGAAACCCCATCTCTACTAAAGTACAAAAAGTTAGCCGGGCATGGTGGCCTGCGCCTGTAGTCCCAGCTACTCGGGAGGCTGAGGCAGGAGAATTGCTTGAACCCGGGAGGTGGAGGTTGCAGTGAGCCGAGATCGCACCACTGTACTCCAGCCTGGGCAACAGAGCGAGACTCCATCTTCCCCGACACCCCCCCCAAAAAATCCTATTCCATCTTTTGAAGCCAAATTCTAGGGTCATCTTTTCTCTAAAACTTTCTCCAGCCCAGCTAAAGAAAATGATTTATTTTGTGCTTTCATAGTACTTTGTTAATAATGCTAAAAAGTACCTTGCACTATTGTGATTAATTCCATAGTTATCTGTCCCTGCAGAGTGTAAGCTCTTTTGATAATCCTTGTATTTTAGGCATCTTTGAAAACCCAGTGCCTAGAATAGTGTCTAACACATAGTATATGCTCAATAAGTGTTGTGAATTGAATTCTTTTTTTTCCTTTTTTTTTTGAGATGGAGTCTCACTCTGTTGCCTAGGCTGGAGTGCAGTGGTGCGATCTCGGCTCACTGCAACCTCCACCTCCTGGGTTCAAGCAATTCTCTGCCTCAGCCTCCCAAGCAGCTGGGATTACAGGTGCCCACCACCACGCCCGGCTAATTTTTGTATTTTTAATAGAGACAGGGTTTCACCATCCTGGCCAGGTTTGTCTTGAACTCCTGACCTCAGGTGATCCACCTGCCTTGGCCTCCCAAAGTGCTGGGATTACAGGCATGAGCCACCACACCCGGCCAAATTGAATTCTTTTTGTGACCTCCCTTTCCCTAATTTCTGAACATTTTCACTTATTGTTTTTTTGTCTATATAACAACCATTGGTTATATATCTAGTCAAAATAAAAAGATATACATAACATTGTTATTTTTAATATTTCAATGAATTTTAAATATACTATCTAATAATATGCAAGTTTTATTAGCATAGTATTTTCTTTCACTGTTTATTTTTTTGAATGACCAAATATGAAACAGCAGTTTACATGATTCCAATTTATTTTTATCAGTATCTTTGTTTTTTTAACCTATCTTGATCCAATCTCAGTAGCCACACTACTATTGCCCTTCACTCAAGAATGGTGAAAAACTTACAGATAGAAATACAATTAAAAAGTAAATGTGATCTCCCACTGAAGAAAACTCTTATCGAACCAAGGCAGCTTTTTCTTACTTATCTATATTCTGTTGAGTACCAAATCATAATGGAAGCAAAATGATTGCAGAACTTAAAAATTCTAAGATAAAACCGACTTTATCCACATTTATAGATTGAGGCCTCACCAGTGAAACTGCTTATTTTTCTTAATAGTTTTCTTTTTTTTCTTGAGAGAGGAGCATGGTTGTAGTCTCAGAGAAAATGAATGTTTAATTTTCTTAGCTAAACTGATCTTTTTGGTTTTTTTTGCAAGTTTGGCATATTTAAGTTTATATTTCCTTTTCACTTAAACAGTTTTCCTTATCCTGATAGCACCATTTCCATGGGCTTTTAAACACTGGGGATGAAAAGAAGGTACATGGATAAAATGTAGATTAACTGATGCTAAAATGAACATTACTATGCTTGTTGCCTAATGATAAACTGTACTAGTATACCATTTAACGATTTTTTAGTATTCTGATAAAATTAAATACAAAACTTTTCTTAGATTTAAGTAAACCTTAGCAAAACCATCAGTGAAGACTTGATGTCTCCAAACTATAAATTAAGAAAACATGTTAGTTCCGGCTGGGCGATGTGGCTCACGCCTGTAATCCCAGCACTTTGGAAGGCTAAGGCAGGCGGATCGCAAGGTCAGAAGATCGAGACCATCCTGGCTAACACAGTGAAACCCTGTCTCTACTAAAAATACAAAAAATTAGCCGGGCGTGGTGGCGGGTGCCTGTAGTCCCAGCTACTCAGGAGGCGAGGCAGGAGAATGGTGTGAACCCAGGAGGCAGAGCTTGCAGTGAGCAGAGATCCGTCCACGGCACTCTAGCCTGGGGGACAGAGTGAGACTCTGTCCCCCACCAAAAAAAAAGAAAAGAAAAGAAAAGAAAACATGTTAGTTTCAAGTGAATCAAATCAAGAGTTACTTATGTAATAATTTGAATCAAACAAAATAATCTACAGAAAATATTATCAAGCTGGTATTTAGATATCCATTACTATAATATATTGCATAGTATAATTAGCACAATAGTCTAAAACATAATCATACCTTCCCAAAATATAGCTTCATAAACTCATAGTGACTTTCTACTCTGTCATTTATTTAAAAAGAATTTAAAATGCAATTAAAATTGATATTAGCATAGAATAATCAATCTTGGGGTCCACCAATGTTTAAAGTGAACCTTTATATTTCACAACTTGATTTCACCTCATCTTACACTATTATCTACCTTGCTGAATTAAAAATTATTATAAAATAAAAAAATATGATTTAAGGAAACAGCCATGTTTAGAATACAACAACCCTTATGATATGTTGTTAATATGATAAAATGGTAATACTACAGAAGTCAACTACTGCACACATGTTCTAAACATGG
This sequence comes from Homo sapiens, assembly GCF_000001405.40. Classification (NCBI taxonomy): domain Eukaryota; kingdom Metazoa; phylum Chordata; class Mammalia; order Primates; family Hominidae; genus Homo; species Homo sapiens. Next base: position 32,641,544 of record NC_000011.10, read on the forward strand.
CTCTAATATATCTCAACAAAACTGCTGAGGAAAGCAAAATAGATCAGTTAATAATAGTACATATATAATTATTTTAATCATTTACTAAAATACTATGCAATGGTTTTATGAAAAAGTAAATTAATTTTTCTTTGTCACATGGGGGCTCAAATTATATATATATATGTGTGTGTATATATATATATATGCATGCATATATACACAAACATGTATTTGTGTGGTCTTCCATGCATAAAAGCATTACAGGGAATTTCATTAAATTTAGCTTTTAAAAAGCATTCACCTTTTTGGAAATATGAGACCAAGAAAAAAATGTGTCTGATTTTAGTCCTCTAATATTTTTGCAATATTTTCTTAGCATTTATAGTTATTTTAAATGTCTAAAACTATTTAAAATATTTTAATATTTTTCTATTTAATAAACTTACATGTCTTTTCCAAGTTCCTAGTGCTTTTTCATGCTCATTTTGAAGATTAAGAAACTTTTCTTCATTTTCTTTTACCTTCTCCCTTTGCAGCTCATTATCTCTTTCAAGGGTCTGCAATAAAATTAATTATCCAAAAAATAATCAATACCACATTAATGAATTCTGATGTGTTTTATGTTGCTTGGACCTTTGCTTCTAACATGCTGAAAGTGCCATACAGATCAGTGATAATGTGCTATCTCAACAATAATTTTCATAAATTAATGGAAAGGTGCTTATAGTTTAGCTAACAGAAAATAGGGGGAGGTTTTGATAAAGAAATGGCTATAAAAGAGTATAAAAACATTGCCATTATTCAGTTTCACTGCATAAGTTTTAATGTGCTGAAAAGGTAATATAAAGTACAGCACTGAAAAGTATGAAATGTAGCACGATCCAGCCTAACTCTACTAAAGAAATTTAACTACCATAGAACATTTTTTCCATTATCTGTTTATTTTAGAAATTAACTGGCTAGAAAACTCTTAAATACAATTTTAATTTTAATTTCAAATTAACACTTTTTAAGTATAACTTAAATATTTACCATATTAACTTAATTACTTCATTGAACTAACATAACAGAATCACTACCACACTCTCCCTCCCACAAAATAAACTTATAGAGTAAAAATACTACCATGTGTTTTCTAAGACTAGGTTTTTAAAGCTATTAAATCAGTGTCATCAATATTATTAGGTTTTTCCAATGTCTGCTGATAATCCAAGTAAATTTCTATAAAAAGATAAACAGTGATAGAACTCCTACCTACATGCCTAATACATTTGGAATCTTTAAGTTGTTTACAAAGCTATGCACATTCAGGTTAAAAATGTCAAGCCACACAAAAGGATTTTTTTTTTTAAAAAAAGTAAAGTTATTCTCTCAGTTTTCCACCCCAGAAGTAACCACTGTAGCAGTTTCTTGTATATCTTTCCAGAAATTGTCTATATAACCATAAAAGTACGTAAAATATATATATATTTTTAAATACAGATGAGACCATATCATACACTGTTCTGTCATCTGCTTTTCTTTAAAAAAAAAAGTTTTGCTTACTTTCCATATTACATATATAAATCCATCTCATTTGAATTCCATATTATTCATAGTACTCCATCTATTTAGAGAATTCTCAATTACATCTAGAATATCAGTATGCAAAGATAAATTATGTAAAATTATGGCAACATATCTAATACGAATTTTACAATTTTAACATGGAGATTCTCCTCTTGCTCATAAGAAGCTATGCATTTTAAGAGTACCCAGTGAATATCTATTTTGATTGCCTCTGTTTCAGGATAACATAGATATTTTTATAAAAGTAACAGGTCCTTAATTTATAGGTATATACAGTCATGTGTTGGTTATAGACAGGGATATGTTCTGATAATTCCATCATTAGGTGATTTTTGTCACTGTATGAACATCATAGAGTGTACTTACACAAACCTAGATGGTATAGCCTACTAATGGTATACGTAGACTATATAGTATAGCTTATTGCTCCTATGCTACAAACCTGTACAGCATCTTTCTGCACTGACTAGTGTAGGCAATTGTAACACAATAGTATTTTTATAACTAAGGATATCTAAACATAGAAAAGGTACAGTAAAAATGAAAAGGTACAGTAAAAAAATAAAAGATTAAAAATGGTACACATGTAACTATATAAGGTACTTACCATGAACGTTGCTCTGGGTGAGTCAGTGAGGGAGTGGTCAGTGAATGTGAAGGTCTAGGACATTATTACTCACCAATATAGGCTTTATAAATGCTGTATACTTAGGCTACACTAAATTTTTTTAATTTTTTCTTTCTTCAATAATAAATCAAGCTTAGTTGACTTTACAAACTTTTTTTTAACTTTTTGACTCTTTTGAAATAACACTTAGCTTAAAACACACAGATTGTACAGCTGTATAAAAATATTTTCTTTCTTTATATCCTTATTCTATAAGCTTTCTATTTTTAAATTTTTATATTTTTCCTTTTTAAATTTTTTGGTCAAAAACTGAGACACATCATCACAGCACTATTCACAATAGCAAAGGCACAGAATCAACATAAATGCTCATCAACAGTAGACTGAAGAAAGAAAATGTGGTACATATACACCATGGAATACTACACAGCCATAAAAAGAGTGAGATCATGTCCTTTGCAGCAACATGGATGGAGCTGGAGGCCATTATCCTAAGAAAACTAACACAGGAACAGAAAACCAAATACCACATGTTCTCACTTATAAGTGGGAGCTAAACATTGAGCACATATAGACACAAAGAAGGGAACAATGGACACCAGGGCCTACTGAGGGTGGAGGGAGATCAAAAAACTACCAATCAGGTACTATACTTATTACCTGGGTGATGAAATACTCTGTACACCAAACCTATGTGAGACTCAATTTACCTATGTAACAAACCTGCACATGTACCTCTGAACCTAAAAGTTAAAAATACATATATGTAACATAAAATTTACCATTTTAACCATTTTTAGGTGTATAATTCAGTGGCACTGAGTATATTCACAATGTTGTACAACTATCACCACTATCCATGTTCAGAACTTTTTCATTATCTCAAATAGAAATTCTGAATCCATTAAACAGGAGCTCCCATTTCCCCTCCCCAGTTGTTCATTTTAACAAATACATATGTTCATGTAACTCCCAGAAGATATAGAGAACAGTTTTATTACTTCCAAAAGTTCCCTTGGGCCACTTTGCAGCACCCCTATTCTTCACTGACCATCAATAATCTGTTTTCTGTCTCTCTAATTGTGGCTTTTGTAGAATGCCCTATAAATGGAATCACGGAACAACACTGTATGTAGCCTTTTGAGTCTGGCTTCATCTACTTAGCAAAATGCATTTGAGATTCATCCATTTTGTTGTGTGAATCAGTAGTTGGTTCTCTTTTACCGCTGAGTAATCTGTTGTATGGATGCACCATAGTTTGTTTACACATTGACCTCTGGGTTGAACATTTATGCTATTTCTAGTTTTTAATGAATATTAATAAAGCCACTGTAAATATTATAAAAAAAACTAACACACAAACACACACATTAGCCTAGGCCTACACAGAGTCAGGATTATCCATATTATGTCTTCCACCTCCACATATTTTCCCTCTGGAAAATCTTCAGGGACAGTAATACCCACAGAACTGTCATTTCCTATCATAATACTCCCTTTTCTGGAATACTTCCTGAAGGACCTGCCTGAGGCTGTTTCACAGTTAACTTTTTTTTCTTTTTCTTTTTCTTTTTTTTTTTTTTTTTTGAGACAAAGTCTTGCTCTGTTGCCCAGGCTGGGCTGCAATGGCGCGATCTCGGCTCACTGCAACCTCCATCTCCCAGGTTCAAGCGATTCTCCGGCCTCAGCCCCCTGAGTAGCTGGGATTACAGGTGCATACCACCACACTGGCTAATTTTTGTATTTTTAGTAGAGACGGGGTTTCACCATGTTGGTCAAGCTGGTTTTGAACTCCGGACCTCGTGATCCGCCCGCCTTGGCCTCCCAAAGTGCTGGGATTACAGGCATGAGCCACCACGCCTGGCCAACTTTTTTTTTTAATAAATAGGAGGAGTAAACTAAAATGATGATAAGTAGTATAGTATAATAAATACATAAACTGGTAACAGTCATTATTATCAAGTATTATGTACTACATATAATTGTATGTACTACACTTTTATATGACAGTGCAGCAGGTTTGTTTATACTAGCATTACCAACAAACGTGTGAGTAATGTGTTGTGCTATGACAATATGATGGCTATGATACTAGCAGATGATAGGAATTTTTACCTCCATTATAATCTTATGGGACCACCATCTTACACGTGGTCTGTCACTGACAAAACATTGTTATGTGGTGCATAACTATAAAACAGAGTAGTTTCTAAATATTTATAGTGTGTATAATAGATGCTTAGTACTTTAACATTCTAACAAATTTTTTTATTGATAACATACTGTATTTTAGAAGATAAACAAATAAAACTTTAGAGAAGATATGGGAGAATAAACCACAGTCTCTATCCTAGTAATAATAATTGGCCAAGAACATCATGCTCTTAAAACAGTGCACTAGCAATATCAATCATTTCTTGTCTGCACCCAATAACTCTATCTAAAGGAAACTACCTACTTCAGGTATTCTCTCGATTTCAGTTTTTTGGAGACATCCATCCTTTCATTACAATTTTGACCTACTTCTCTCTGTCAGCTATACAAATTAGGTTATCTCTGAGGATACCCTTTTTCAGTTCTGTCATGAGTCTCCTGTTTCCCAGATCCCATAGTTTCCTGTCTTGGTTTACTCCCTTGTCTTGGTAGCACAAACATTCTACTACTTCTTGATAAAGGAGGCATAGGGTGGTAAATTTTTTGAGACCCTATATGTCTGAAGATGTCTTGATTCTACCAATACTCGGCAATTTGTTTGGCTAAATACAATACAACTCTGCTTCAGAAATCAATTTTTTCCCAACATCTGAAGGCATGGTTCTATTGTCTTCTACGTTCCAGTGTTGCCACTGAGAAGTCTGAAACCTTGTGTTACCACTCTCATTCTTAATCCCTGTATATTACCTACTTTCTTGTACAATTTTAGAATCTTTTCTTTATGTGTTGTACAAAATTTCATAATGATATGCATTGGTATTGGGCAAGATAAACTTACATCTGTCAGGCCTGGATGACTTTTTTGTATTAATTCTTTGGTCATTTCCTCTCCCTCTATTTTCTCTCTTCTCTCTCTGACACTCACCAGACATCTTGAACTGACCCCCCAATTTCCTTTCCTGTTTTCCATCTTTTTGTCTTTTGGTTCTACTTTTTAGAAGACAGTATTATCTTCCAACCTTTCCTTTGTACTTTTTATGTCTGCTAATATATTTATCTAAAGGGCTCTCGTTTATTCTCTGAGTTTCTTTATAAACTCAAAATTCTTGTTTTGTAGATTAACATATTCCCTTTAACTAAACATACTTTCTTAGTTTCTACAAGGTTTTTTCATTATCCTATTTGTTTTGTCTGTTTTTCATATTGGAGGCTGTATTAGGTTGTTCTTGCATTGTTAAAGAAATACCTGAGACTGGGTAATTTATAAGAAAAGAAGTTTAATTGGCCCATGGTTCTGCAGGCTGTACAGGAAGCATAGCACTGGCATCTGCTTCTGGTGAGGCCTAAGGAAGCTTTTACTCATGGTGGAAGGTGAAGTGGGAGCTTGCACATCACATGGTGAAAGCAGGAGCAAGAGCAAGGCAGGCAGGTGCCACACACTTTTAAACAACCAGATCTCGTGAAAACGAGATCATTCACTATCTTGAGGACAGCACCAAGCCATAAGGAATCTGCCCCCGTGACGCACACACCTCCCACCAGGTCCCACCTCCAACATTGGGGTTTACATCTCAACATGAGATTTGGGTGGATAAATATCTAAACCATATCAGAGGCTTTCTTCAAATGTCCAGTAATCCTTAACTACCTATTCATATTTAAAAATGAGGTATTAAAATGCTGGCTGAAAGTTTTGTCAAATGGTAGGTTTCACTGTGGATTGATCTGGCTGAGCTATTTCACTGGGAAAGCTTAACTGTAGCAGCTATAGTCTTTTCTCTCGGGCAGGTTAGCTTCCCCTGAAAGGAATCTTCCATTTTTCTGCCAGAGAGTTAGGCTAGTTGCCCTCTCAATGAGGATACTGGGCTGGAAGGTCTCACCATTTAGAATTCAGACTTCCAACCTCTTGTCAATATCATACTCGTAGTAGTAAACTGATAAACTAGCTCTCAAAAAAAAAAAAAAAGCCTGATTTGAGGCATTTGCCATTTTCATTCATGTTAAATATTCACATCATAGTTAATTTCAAACTACCATTGGTTTAACAACCAGTTCACAAAATTCCTTAATATCTAACAACCAGCCCCCACTGGCAAAAGCTGGCTCCAGCAAACCACTAGATCCCCTTCCCCCCAAACCTCAGCTGTTCCTCAGATTCTCCAACAGAAACCTCCAATCTTCTGCAAAGTAGGAGAGGAGCACTGTCTACTTGGGCAGGGTGGGAAAGAAAATATGGGATTGCAATGGCTTCTTATATAGATTTAGTTTCTGCCTTCAGCTGCATACTGTACTTCTAGAGGCACATGATACTTGCAAATCCTGACCATTTCTGCACCTTTGATTTCGTTTCTACTTCTTCTCTTGTGCTAAGTAAATTACCATTGTCCATCTGGTTCCCACTTTTTAGTACTATTACTGTTTCCTCCCCATTTCCTTGTCCTTGTGGATATATTAGTGTCATTTTATTGCAGTTTCAAAAATATGTAATGTGGGGTTAAACATGCTTAACTAGAAGTCCTGACCAGGCAATATCTAAACTTAGAAAGACTATGAGTTTATTCATGTTCATCTTTCAGTCATTAAGAAAATTTAATGAGCTGCTATGATGTGCCAGACACTGTTTTAGCTTTTTATGCTACATCAGTGGAAATGTTGCTGTCCTTAAAGAGTTTATACTCTTTTTTTTTTTTTTGAGACGGAGTTTCACTCTTGTTGCCCAGGCTGGAGTGCAGTGGTGCAATCTCAGCTCACTGCAACCTCTGCCTCCCAGGTTCAAGCAATTCCTCTGCCTCAGGCTCCCGAGTAGCTGGGATTACAGGCATGTGCCATGACACCCATCTAATTTTGTATTTTTAGTAGAGGTGGGGTTTCACCATGTTGGTCAGGCTGGTCTCGAATTCCTGACCTCAGGTGATCCACCCACCTCGGCCTCCCAAAGCGCTGGGACCACAGGCGTGAGCCACTGTGCCAGGCCATGGAGTTTATATTCTAACAGGGATTGTTTCCTGGCCTTTTGGCTAAGATTAAGTATAGTATATTCTATTAGGAAATTATTTGGGGTATTTTTGCATCTGGATAACAGAGAGAGCTGATCTAGCAATTTTGTTAGATCAGCTACACTAAGACCACAACTCTTAACTTGCCCCTTCATGAGCTCTAAGTCCAGTACTTATGTACCATTGAATTCTACAGCGCCTATGGTAGTCATAAATATGTAGTTATGTGTTTTCTGAGTTAATGGTGACTGTAAATATAATTCCAGGATCTTTTGACTATGACTACCAATAACTTAGATAATCCAAATGCCTCTCTCTTTTGAAAACCATCTCTGAAAAAAATTGATATTGTGAAAGTTCACAATGAAGCCATTTGCTAATGCTTTAATCTTCCAAAAACTAACTAAATGACCCTAGTTAATACTATGAAAAAATACTATGAAAAAAACTAAATATATTATTCTTGTTAATACTATGACTACAGGAACATAACTATGCTTATAACTGGACTAAACTATAATTAAATCACAATAGAAAATATTTCCTATCATGAGAATTTAGCTTTCTATGCTCTAAATTTTACTACTAGAAAAGTAAGACAGATGACAGCATGATTGCAGAGCACTGAAAAACAGTTGGCCATTATCAAGAGTAATGATCCCTTTTAGTACAGGTAGAATGAGAATGCTCCTCAAGAAAACACCTGAGATATCTATGCAACATAATCCTCAGCAACAGTTCAACATTAATATTTTGTTATGCTATATTTCAGTGGTTCTCAGATACCAGTCTGCAGACAAGTACTGATCCATGACAAAACATTCACTAGTCCATGGCAAAAAATGTCAATATAAGGTCATCAAATGTCTTTTCTTATAAAGGACTATCCTTTATCCTGAGATTATGTCCTTAATATATGTTTGATGTTAAAATGTTCTCTTTCATAAAATGATAGTAATGATAGATTGTATTGTTTGCATTTTTAATATCTTTACTTACCAAAATAAAAAGCTGACAATTCTGTTTTTGACAATACTTTAAAATTTTAGTTTTATAAAATCTAGCTTCTCTATATACTATCAAGGTTCAGGTAATACTTGTGGCAGTTAAAAAGAAAGGCATTTGAGAGAAAAAGAGAGAAGCATTTGATTATCTAATGATTGGTAGTCACAGTCAAAATATCCTGGAATTATATTTATAGTCACCATTAACTCAGAGAAACACGTAACTGTATATAGGCTCTGTAGAATTCAGCAGTATGTAAGTACTGGATTTAGAGCTCATGAAGGGGCAAGTTAAGAGTTATGATCTTAGTATAACTGATCTAACAAAATTGCTAGATAAGCTGTCATAGATCTAGGAAAAATATCTTAACAGTATGTTATAGAAATAGTGCTGGATTAGAATCACGACAGATTTAATCCTAATTTTGTCACTAATTTTGAGGCTTTGAACCACACTGTGTACATTTCCTGGGTCTCTCTTTTCATTAAATGAAATGGTTGGATTAGATGATCTTTAATATTGTGTTTGGCCTAAAAATCTATGTTTCAGCTCATTTATTTGGATTAGAAGATGCTCTTGGTAACAGCTATTCATAAAGAACCTAGTTAAATTATATCATATGTTGCTTGGGAGAAGGTTCAACATATTAGAGAAATAGTTCCAATTATCTAACTATAGAGTGGGCAGGGGAGATGGGAGGTTAGTACTTGCTAACAGCTGGACTTTCAGAGAAACTTTTTTTGCTAGTCTTATATCAGAATAGGTGAAGGGATTAAAAGAAGGGAGAGGTCTGACATTAGGATACCACCTCTCCCTCCCTCTTCTATAGTATTTGGGACACGTAAGAGAAATAAGGAAGGCAAAACTTTCGTTACATGATAAGCCATAGAACATCAATGGTGAGGAGATATTAATAAATGTTGCATTGCTCAGGTTCAATTTGGTTCCATTCAATGATAGACTCTGCATAATTTGTTGGGCCTGGTACAAAATGAAAAACACAGGGAAAAAAGTGCTACTAAAGGTACTAAAATATACAACTTTTTCTTTTCTTTGCAGACCCTCCCTCTCTTTCAATTTGTCATGGTGCTTTTTATTTTCTATTTAATATCATGATCCCCTAGGCTTGGGGATACTTACCAGGCAAACACAGACCCTCATAAGGTGCCTAAGGGCCTCATCACACAACTCAGCATGAGTGAGAGCCACCAGCTACCAGGTTCCCTGTCCTGCCAGCTGCTAGACCCATCTACTATGTCCTGGACGTGGGTGGGGAAGAGAATCTTCCCTTCCCATGGGGCCTTCACCCCAACCCATGGCAAATGGGTGACTCTCAAGGGACTGCAACTGCCAGGAGGTATGCACTCAGTACCTGGACTGGGGATTCATCCTCCCTGCAGACCCCCACCAAGTCACCTGCCTAACACTTGAAGGCACTGCCAACCTGCAACAAAGACAACTGTTGTTATGTCTCACCCCAAAATACTGTGGGGTACATGCACACAACCTAGGCCCTCCCTGCCTGCACCTACACCCCAACAAAAGAGTAAAGGTCAACAGTAGAACACAGACCTTTCCCCCAAATGTGACCCAGTCAAACTGCACCAGTGGCAGGACGGGAACGAGGAGTAGGAGGCAAAGCAGGACGTAGGTCCCCAGAGGGCGGAAGAGCCAGCAGCCAAGAACCAGTCCTGGGAGGTAGTGGAAATACCTGAGCTGAGGATTCAAGCCCCTAGCACATGCTCCATTACCATTAGACTTCATTTACAGAATGTAAATTCAAAATAAAATCTTCAAGACAGTGACCATGAAACATTAAACCTGAAGCAGAAGGCCATTCTGAGTGTGGGTCCCTATGATGCCAGTGCACTGGTCACATACTCATGAAACTGGCCCTGGCCTTGACTGATGGTAGTTTTTATGTGGGAGGTAATTGTAGTTTTCTTGGGAAATGTTCAGCTTTACCCTGAACCCCTTTAGAAGGATAGAAGTATCTTCTACTGGCCACCCCAGTGGAACATATCCCCAACCCCTTTTCTGAATTGGACATCCCATCACTTGGCCCAGTGGCTTACAGGGCAGTTCCTGCTCCTCCACTAATCTCCATGGTTCCTTCATGTGAAGCCAAAGAACCACTAAGGTTTTTTAAGAATAATACACTTCAAGCTCCATTAGCACAGATTACTCTAAAAACTTTCCTTTTTGAAATTTGTAGACCAAAACTGGGCATCAGTTGATATGTTCTTGGTAAACTTCCAAACTTCAAGAAACATATGCCTAGCTGGCTGTGGTAGTGGGCACCTGTAATTCCAGCTACTCGGGAGGCTGAGGCAGGAGAATCGCTTGAACCCAGGAGGTGGAGGTTGCAGTGAGCCAAGATCATGCCACTGCACTCCAGCCTGGGTGACAGAACAAGACTCCATCTCAAACAAAAAAAAAAGAAAGAAAGAAAAACAAAACAAAACAAAACAAAAGAAAAGAAATACGTGCCAACCACTTCCACATGAACTTATCACATTTTACTTTACTGGTAACACTAGAGTGGACCTTCACCTTTCTACAGCATTTCAAGCATCTAGCCAGGGAACAAAAGGCAGTCTCCCCTTCTTGTATCTCAATCCCTACAAGAGATTTTCCTGTACATTTCTTCACTCAGCTTTATAAGGGGAAATGCGCCTGCCTCTGCTAGGGATGTAAGAGAAAAAGCCTCTTTTTTGAACCCTGCACTCCCAAATTATCAATGGCCAACAATGTCTTCTCCTTCCCAGTCATTTCCTTATATATACTGGAAAGAGGATGATGAGGTGTTTGTTGTGGTAACAGCGCCAATTTTATCATATTCCTGTGAAGAGAGATCTACCCCAAACTTCTGAGAGCTGGCTGAATGCTCTCTTAAACTGAGTTGACACTTTCACCTTTTATTTTCAGTGTTGGATTGTGACCACAATTCTAAGACAAAAAAAAAATCCTATTCATTCTGTTGTAACAGAGTGGATTTTTCATTTTGCAAAATTAAGTCAGATACTTGATAAAATTTAACATTTCACTAGTGACATAAATGTGAATAATATATGTTCATTACTTTAGACACTGAAAACAAGTTGAAGGAAGTCAATATCTTACCCCTAGAATTCAAAATAATCTCAATAAAACTGGACAGAAAAATAAACTAAACAGGAAGTTAATTAGTGAAAATATACTAAAACACAGATAGATAGACAGACAGACAGACAGATAGAACGAACCTGATTATTTTCTTTTAGCACCTTCAATTCTGCCTCCATTTCAGTATTAGCTTGAATTTGTTGCCGAAGTAACTGCTGCATATGTTGGAAAGAAATGATGATATCCTTTGAAAATACACAAATATATCAATTTAAAAGTTTTAAGATAGGTATGTTTCTAAAATCATTCTTCACATACATTTTCTAGTTTCCTAACTCACTGTATTTATAGTTTAATTTCAATACTTTATATTAAACTAATGGCACATCTAATGGTATCTAAAATTTCTATTACATTATTTCCAAGAGTCCCTCAAATAATTAACAAAGTTTTTTGGAATAAACTGTGGATTCTAAGACACATGTGAAGAATTCAAAACTAAAATAAAGATTTTTTGGCTTGCCACCTCCCAACAGTAAATATATCACTACTAAAATGTCATATGAGGTATAATATTATAAAATGTCATAATGGGCTAGGGTGTCATGGCATACATTCAGAGTCAAATGGAGGAAAAGCAGAAGAGAAAACAGAAACAGGAGGAATATTCTTTCACACATATTTTAAAAAATGAATAATTGTAAGCATCAAATAGACTCAAATGAGAGTATAATGTCCTGAAAAAGTATGCACTACACATAAATAAACTTCAATAATTATTTGTTAGGGTATCACTGGTCTAATCTATCAAGGAAAAAACTAAGGTATTTTTTAATGAAAGTATATTGAGACTGATTTTAAAAAGTATACACATGTACATTTAATACACATTAACTGAGTGCCTACTATGTGCTATGCATGATTCCACTTATTTTTTACATTTTATCTGATTTTTAGAATATTTACTGGCTTCCAAATAGCTTATGATTGCTTACCTGTTTTTCTTCTTGAATATGGGTAATCTCTTCATTAATCTTCTCATTTAATTCCAATTCCTTTAAAATTTGAATAGTTTTAAAGTTATGATATAAAATTCAGCAAATTCTACATTCAATTCAGTACTAAACAAATTTTGGAGTGTTATGACCTATTCCTACCCCCAGAGTACCCACATTTGTTTTTTTGTTTGTTTATTTGTATGTTTGTTTTGAGACTGTGTCTCGCTCTATCACCCAGTCTGGAGTGCAGTGGTGCGATCTTGGCTCACTGCAACCTCCACCTCTTGGGTTCAAGCGGATTCCATGCCTCATCCTCCCAAGTAGCTGGGATTACAGATGCCCACCATTACGCACAGCTAATTTTTGTATTTTTAGTGGAGACGAGGTTTCATCATGTTGGCCAAGCTGGTCTTGAACTCCTAACCTCAAGTGATCCACCCACCTCAGCCTCCTAAAGTGCTGGGATTACAGGCGTAAGCCACTGCACCTGGCCCAAAGTACCCACATTTGTTTGTGGTTTAAACAGTGACTTCAGTGAACTGAAGAAGATTTTATATACCAACAAAGCTTGGTGCAAACTTGTAAATGTTAAAAACTATAAACTCATCTCCAAAGCTGTCCTGGAGATACCACTGTACCACAAGATTACTCAAAACCATATTCAAGTAGAAATAAAATAGTTCTAGCCAAATCTTATTGTCCTAAAGTCTATGGCAAAAATTAATAAAAAAACAGATTAATAATACCTTTAACTATGCATATTGACTTTGCAAAGGCGGAGTATTTTTGTGTTACAATTCTGAAATTCTCATAAGTTTTATTGAAAATATTAATGTTATAAACAAATACATTTAATAAAATACCATGTTGAGTCTTTCTTGAAGTTCTTGAAATTTTTGTTCTTTAATTGTTAGATTGATGTTTTCTTCTCCCATCTTATATTGACATGTGACTTTGGACTTTATCAAGTCTGAGGCTGCTTTTTTTAGTTCCTTAATAAGAAACATATCAAACAGAAAATTCAGTACACATATTTCACTAAAACAAGGTACTTTCCTGACAGTTTCAAAGTTCATCCTTAAGCCTATAATTATAATTTGTTATAATTCCCTTGCAAGTTCCCTTGCAAGATTAGCCAAGGTGGGAACATAATCTGCGGTTGTGGATCAGGCAAAGTTAATCAATCATAAAGAGATTGACTGCATGACTTTTAATCTTAAAAGGAGTGTACTAACAAAATCAACTAACTAACCAGAAGTACAGTGTTTCCATTATTTATTAAACAAATACCTTCTGAGATAAAAAGATAACAAGGAAATCTCAATTCCCAAATTTATTAGCCTCTAATAGGAAAAATTATGTAAGAAATAATTACAATACAATGTAATGAGTGCTATATTAGAAAAATGAATAAAAAACATAAACTGTATCAAAACGGTATTACATGTGAAGGTGCTATTTGAACTGAATCTTTAAAGATCAATTTGCAAAGAAGACAACAAAGGGGTAGGCATTCCAGGCAAAAGGTTCTACATGCACAAAGCCACAGAAACATGAAAGAGAACGATATTTTTCAGGGAAACAGAACTAATAAGATATGACTGGAGCTAATGTGTTATTTCAGGGGACAGAGTAGAATATTGGTAGTTGTGTCTAGAAATTTGGCAGGATTCAAGTATTGAGAAGGACTTGTACGTTACGCTACAGAGTTTGAATGTTATACTATAAAACAAAATGGGGAATTAACCACTGAAGGATTCTGAGTAGAAGAATGACATAACAAAATTTGCATTTTAGAAAAATAACTCTGGCAGTGTTGTGGAGGGTGGAACTGAAGGATGTAAAAGCAGTCTTCATTTATGAAGTCACATGTTCATTGAGTTTAGCAGATACCAATTAAACACATTAAAATCTTGAAATACCAACTTTTGAATTAGTGTGCAATTGATTGTGCTGTTCTTCTGTGTATATTGACTATATTAAATACTCAAGAATCTGATTTTCGGTCTCGGCTACACAGTATCTGAACTCCCTTATAAAGTTAGTACCTGGCATCTTTGCTTCTCAGGTAGGCAGTGGGCAGTTTTTCTTTTCTTTTCTTTTCTTTTTTTTTTTGAGACGGCGTCTTGCTCTGTCGCCCAGACTGGAGTGCAGTGGCACGATCTCGGCTCACTGCAAGCTCCGCCTCCTGGGTTTGTGCCATTCTTCTGCCTCAGCCTCCCGAGCAGCTGGGACTACAGGCGCCCACCACCACGCCCGGCTAATTTTTTTTGTATTTTTAGTAGAGACGGGGTTTCACCATGTTAGCCAGGATGGTCTCGATCTCCTGACCTTCTGATCCGCCCGCCTCGGCCTCCCAAAGTGCTGGGATTACAGGCGTGAGCCACCGCGCCCGGCCAGTTTTTCTACATTATAAGAGCCGGCTGCCTACCAGAGAAGCAAAGATGCCAGGTACCAGCTTTATAAGCATGAGGCTAGGCTCTGCTAATCTCATGCACCTGTCTTGGATATTGGATTAGTTATCACAAAAAAACAAGGACTACTGCAAATCCATCTGTTGGTAGATAGTCAGGGAAGTGTAGTAACTTCAAGCTTCTATGGGTGAGTGATACCGCAGCAGCAGCATCAGCAGCATCCACTATGGTCAGCAATGATGGTATAAGCTGTGATATACAGTATTCAAAAGTGGAAGCTGGTTTTATGCTATAGTCTTGGATACTGCATAGCCTCCCTTGTTTGTAATCATTTTTCAAGTCCGAGATAACCAATGCCCTTCCAATAAATTCCTTTGCTGACTAAATCAGTGTGCAATTAAGAATCCTGACTACTTAATTTTTTTAAAGGTCTTAAGAACTGGATAAACAACAAACTTTTGACTCTTGTAGAAGTAAGTTGATTTATTAGAGTGGCAAGATTATAGGAAATTTTTATTTTCTTCATTATGTGATTAGTATTTTCTATTTTTCGTAAAATAAAAACATTTTTTGTAGTTTTAAAATCGTATTTAAGCTGTAAAAACAGGTACTATCACATAGAGAGTTATTAGAGGATAGAAAATGGAAAATGACTCAATCCTAAGAAAAATTCATAGATTAGAGAAGAAGCCAGTATATAAGGCTGAGAAATAAAGTCAACTGAGATAGGAGGAAACCCAAAAGGAAGCTGAAAGAGGAGCAGCAGAAAACAGGGCTACTAATACCTTCAAAGTTCTACATGTTACAGCTTTAGCCACCCAGGGAAAAACTCACCCAAGTATATCCTAACTCCAAATTCAAAATCCAGGAGAAAGGACTCATTGGTCTTAGTTCAAATATCACCTTTGGATATGTACACTGCATAAAATGACTGCTAAAGTAACCACGTGAGTCAAGAGATAGGGCTCTATTCTTAGAAAAGCAGGCAGACAAATTGATGTCTGGCATAAAGAGAACAATTAGTATATATCGAAGGAATGAACCAAAGTTTGAATGAAGGGGGTAGACCTTGAGCTGGGCCTTGAAGAATGAGTAGTATAGTGGATATCCTCCATTTATCACTCCTGATTCACTTCCCACCCTTTCTCCACACTGCTCTGTGCCCTATGTGGCTGATATCTGTGGGTATAGCAAACTCTCTGCCTTCTGGCTCCTGATTGGGTTAAATCTGTGGGAGGTACTAGTAGATCAGTAGGCTATAAAGAGAAAGAGAATGAGGTATTTTACCAGCTCCCTCCCTACTAACCACAAATTGGTAATACCTCTATATCTTTACCAAAGATCACAGCTAATCCTAGTGATTTGGGAGGCTAAGGCAGGAGGATTGCTTGAAGCCAAGAGTTCAAAACTATTCTGGGCAACAAAGCAAGACCCTGTCTCTAAATAAATAAAAAGATAAGCCAGGCATGATGGTGTATGCCTCTGGTCCTAGCTACTCAGGAAGCTGAAGCTGGAGGATCACTTGAGCCTAGGAGTTCAAAGCTGCAGTGACCGATAATTGCGCCACAGTGACCCCCCACCGCCCCCATCTCTTAAAAATAAAAACCCACCCCCTACCCTAGTCTCTTTAAAAAAAAAAAAGAAAAAGAAAAAAAAACCCCACAGCTTCTGCCTTAGGCTTTCTTCTGCAGCTATAGCTACAGCTCTTTCCAGATTCCAGCATCTGCTTCATTCCCTTATCTCTTCAGGTACAGGTGTGCTAATCATTCTCCCACTACTTTTATCTGTGGGGTGCTTCACCATCCCTTGTTGTTTTCCCTTACCTCTGTCTACAACTACGTAAATAGCTTTCATTTACGTAGTTCATTAATCTTTTCTCAATTACCATTCCACCGTGCCACCTCTTTCCTGGTCCAACCCTGTTTAGTACAAGTACATTGAGAGAAAGCATTTCAAGTATGGGAAGGGATGTAGAGGAAAACAAAACCAAAAGGCAGAAAGAACTAAGAATTATGCTAATGGCAACAAAGAATTTTGGCTAAAATAGAATGGAAGATGCTTGTTAAGAAGCAATAACAAACAATATTGAACATGTAGAATGGACCAGATCATGAAAGCTCTGGAAAGCCAATTAAAGAAGCCTGGGACTTGATTTGGTAGGCAAAGGAGAATTATTTATCATTTCTTCTACATATACCAAGTACCTCCTGTGTGTCAGGCACATAGAAGTTAAATCAGTATCTTAGTAAACTTAGTCTGGCAAAAAGAATGAATAAAAACTTGAGAAAAGAACACTGGCTAAGAGGCTATTATATTAATCCAGGCATGAGATGATGAGTGTCTATAGTATTGAAAAATGGAAAGTAAAAAATATGAGACATTCTAAAAAAAAATATAATAGACTGAACAAAGAGAATAAAGGAAAAAGATGAGTCAAAAATGAGTCAAAGATGATTCTAGAGTGACTAAGTGAAACTGGAAGAAAGGAAAAGGGGACCATGAAATGCGAAAGGAAGAAACACAAAAATGGAAAGGAAATAGAAAGTGTGCTTCACTGATGGAAGAGACAAAAAGTATATTTAAAATTACACAAAATAAGAGACAGAAAATGTCCTGAGACAGATTCTTTCAAAAGCTAAAAAAATACAAATTATTAAGCCTGAACCATAGGTTAACTATTCTCAAAAAAGTCCTTCATTTACATTTTTTTCAAATTACAAAAGGCTGAACATGAGGAATTCCCTCAAATAAAGTTTCTATGTATCAGTCATGATTCACCTTCACAGGCAGCAAGATAGCTTCCTTTGAAAGGAGAGTTGCATGAATTTTTTTTTTCAGAGGTAGAGTGGATGGGAGAGTGAAGAACCCAATGTGTGACCTGTTAACCCTGAAGTTACAATAAGTCACAAAAGGAGATGATCTACAGGTAGTTGAACATATAGAACCAGAGATTAAGAGAAATGTGAGATTGAAAAACTATGTATGCCGTCATGCACATGAAGTGAATGGCTGACTAAAGTCTGAGCTCACTGAAACAAAGACTTTGAGAAAAGCAAAACTCTATCCCAAAACTCTATCCTTACAGAGTTTTGGAAGAATGGAGGAAAAAGATAATCAGGGAGTCAGAGGAATTTATTTTAAGAGTAGACGACCTTGGAAAAGTTAACTATGACATAAATGTCATAAACCAATCATTTTATGTTTTAAACATCCATAAATTTGTACAAAACACAGTATTTGGTAATGAAAAACACAAAGTGTCAGTAACACTTAGGATGCTTTAGCTATAAATATCAGAAAACCATAACTAAACCACAAAATAATCAGGAAATTTACTATCCTATAACAGGGACCACAAAGTTAGGCAGGCTGGTTGACCTGGATACTCGATATAGTTCAATATAGACTAGTTATTTTCATGTCTCCACTTTCCATTCTTGGGCCTCTTCCTTAGACTATTAACAAGAGGCCAATTCAGGTATTACATGGCAATTGTATCATTCTGGGACTCATTAAAGAGAAAGAAAATGTTTCCTTGAACTACCTCTTGCTTGCCAGAATTGGATCACATGCTCATTCCTGAACCAAACACTGCCATGAGGAATAGAGTAATATTAATTGGCTTGGAGACGGAATGAGGTGGAATGAATGTTGGGGAATTATCACAATGTCAGTTACAAGAACAGTTTCAGCTAATGTTATAAAAATTACAGATTGCTTAGAATACTACTGATTACAACCATTATGCAAAACAAAGTGAGGCAAGGTGGAAAATCTTTTTTATAAGCTGCTTGACATTAATTCACCCAGTCTCTTTGGGTCAGTTCTCTCTACCAAAAAAAAAAAAAAAAAAAAAAAAAACAGGTTGGATCCAGTTAACCACTTTCAAATCACGCCCTGAGAAGTTTTAGCAGTTCCATGGTACCCCTCCAGGGCTGCTAACAGAGAAGAGAAGCCAACAGGTATAGCTCCAGGATTCTTCCAACCCTTCCTTCAACCACAAAGGCTCTACCTTTATTTGCTTCAATATTGAGCTTCTACATCTTTTCAAAGTGCTTTTTCATACATTTTATAATTTTATATTTATTATACA
Organism: Homo sapiens; assembly: GCF_000001405.40. Classification (NCBI taxonomy): domain Eukaryota; kingdom Metazoa; phylum Chordata; class Mammalia; order Primates; family Hominidae; genus Homo; species Homo sapiens. The sequence goes on from NC_000011.10 coordinate 32,660,488, forward strand.
TATATAAAACAGGAAAAGCAGATATTATTGTATTTATATTACAAATGAGAATACCGGTTGGGTGTGATGGCTCATACCTGTAATCCCAGCACTTTGGGAGGCTGAGGCAGGAGGACTACTTGAGCCTAGGAATTTAAGACCAGCCTAGGCAACATAGTGAGACCCCATCTCTAAAAAAAAACAAAAATTAGTCAGGCATAGTGGCATGCCTCTGGTCACAGCTACTCAGGAGGCTGAGGTAGGAGGACTGCTTGAGCCCAGGTGTTCACCAGCACTGCAGTGAGTTGTGATATCGCACCACTGCACTCTGCCCTGGGCAACAGAGTGAGACCCCGACTCAAAAAAAGAGAGAGAGAGAATACAAAGGGGGTAAAGAAGAAAAGCAACACCAGTATGCTTTGGGTCATGTACCTCCTTGGGATGGCTACAGTTGAAAGGTTTAAGTTTTAAAGAAAAGGTGAAGTAATGACTTAATATAAACAGAAGAAAAAGAAACATCATGCAGGGAATTCCACATAAGCGGGAACAGTCTAATGGAGTGGGTGAAGGTATAGAGGTAATACATTTGGGCATGTCATGGTAAAGATGATAGAAAAGGATCCTCTGGTTGGAGAAAGGGGAAGGCTGAATGAAAAAGCCCAAAAGCAGCAGAATATCAAATACCTTCAAGGTGGTGACATGCTAGTCTGCAGTTCTGCAGAGTGAAGGAATATAAGGAGCTGGTAGTTTAGGAGCATGAATTGTCAAAAATGTCCCCTTTTATTTTTTTAAGCTTTTAATTTTTATTCATCTCTTCATCAATTGGAGTGAATCGACAATTTTTTTTATTATACTTTAAGTTCTATGGTACATGTGGACAACGTGCAGGTTTGTAACGTATGCATACATGTGCCATGGTGGTTTCCCGCACCCATTAACTCTTCATTTACATTAGGTGTATCTCCTAATGCTATCCCTCCCCCCTCCCCCAACCCCATGACAGGCTCTAGTGTGTGATGTTCCCCTTCCTGTGTCCAAGTGTTCTCATTGTTCAATTCCCACCTGAGAGTGAGAACATGCGGTGTTTGGATTTTGTCCTTGCAATAGTTTGCTGAGAACGATGGTTTCCAGCTTCATCCATGTCCCTACAAAGGACATGAACTCATCCTTTTTTATGGCTGCATAGTATTCCGTGGTGTATATGTGCCACATTTTCTTTATTTTATTATTATTATACTTTAAGTTTTAGGGTACATGTGCACAATGTGCAGGTCTGTTACATATGTATACATGTGCCATGTTGGTGTGCTGCACCCATTAACTCGTCATTTAGCATTAGATATATCTCCTAATGCTATCCCTCCCCTCTCCCCCGACCCCACAACAGTCCCCGGAGTGTGATGTTCCCCTTCCTGCGTCCATGTGTTCTCATTGTTCAATTCCCACCTATGAGTGAGAAAATGCAGTGTTTGGTTTTTTGTCCTTGAGATAGTTTGCTGAGAATGATGGTTTCCAGCTTCATCCATGTCCCTACAAAGGACATGAACTCATCCTTTTTTATGGCTACATAGTATTCCATGGTGTATATGTGCCACATTTTCTCAATCCAGTCTATCGTGGTTGGACATTTGGGTTGGTTCCAAGTCTTTGCTATTGTGAATAGTGCTGCAATAAACATACGTGTGCATGTGTCTTTATAGCAGCATGCTTTATAATCCTTTGGGTATATACCCAGTAATGGGATGGCTGGGTCAAATGGTATTTCTACTTCTAGATCCTTAAGGAATCGCCACACTGTCTTCCACAATGGTTGAACTAGTTTACAGTCCCACCAACAGTGTAAAAGTGTTCTTATTTCTCCACATACTCTCCAGCTCCTGTTGTTTCCTGACTTTTTAATGATCGCCATTCTAACTGGTGTGAGATGGTATCTCATTGTGGTTTTGATTTGCATTTCTCTGATGGCCAGTGATGATGAGCATTTTTTCATGTGTCTGTTAGCTGCATAAATGTCTTCTTTTGAGAAGTGTCTGCTCGTCTCCTTTGCCCACTTTGTGATGGGGTTGTTTTTTTTTTCTTCTTGTAAATTTGTTTGAGTCCTTTGTAGATTCTGGATATTAGCCCTTTGTCAGATGAGTAGATTGCAAAATTTTTTTCCCATTCTGTAGGTTGCCTGTTCACTCTGATGGTAGTTTCTTTTGGTGCGCAGAAGCTCTTTAGTTTAATTAGATCCCAATTGTCAATGTTGGCTTTTGTTGCCATTGCTTTTGGTGTTTTAGACATGAAGTCCTTGCCCATGCCTATGTCCTGAATGGTATTGCCTAGGTTTTTTTCTAGGGTTTTTATGGTTTTAGGTCTAACATTTAAGTCTTTAATCCATCTTGAATTAATTTTTGTATAAGGTGTAAGGAAGGGATCCAGTTTCAGCTTTCTACATATGGCTAGCCAGTTTTCCCAGCACCATTTACTGAATAGGGAATCCTTTCCCCATTTCTTGTTTTTGTCAGGTTTGTCAAAGATCAGATGGTTGTAGATGTGTGGTATTATTTCTGAGGGCTCTGTTCTGTTCCATTGGTCTATATCTCTGTTTTGGTACCAGTACCATGCTGTTTTGGTTACTGTAGCCTTGTAGTATAGTTTGAAGTCAGGTAGTGTGATGCCTCCAGCTTTGTTCTTTTGGCTTAGGATTGTCTTGGCAATGCGTGTCTTTTTTGGTTCCATATGAACTTTAGTTTTTTCCAATTCTGTGAAGAAAGTCATTGGTAGCTTGATGGGGATGGCATTGAATCTATAAATTACCTTTGGCAGTATGGCCATTTTCACGATATTGATTCTTCCTATCCATGAGCATGGAATGTTGTTCCATTTGTTTGTGTCCTCTTTTATTTCATTGAGCAGTGGTTTGTAGCACTCCTTGAAGAGGTCCTTCACATCCCTTGTAAGTTGGATTCCTAGGTATTTTATTCTCTTGCAAGCAATTGTGAATGGGAGTTCACTCATGATTTGGCTCTCTGTTTGTTATTGGTGTATAAGGATGCTTGTGATTTTTTGCACATTGATTTTGTATCCTGAGACTTTGCTGAAGTTGCTTATCAGCTTAAGGAGATTTTGGGCTGAGACAATGGGGTTTTCTAAATATACAGTCATGTCATCTGCAAACAGAGACAATTTGACTTCCTCTTTTCCTGATTGAATACCCTTTATTTCTTTCTCTTGCCTGATTGCCCTGGTCAGAACTTCCAACACTATGTTGAATAGGAGTGGTGAGATAGGGCATCCCTGTCTTGTGCCAGTTTTCAAAGGGAATGCTTCGAGTTTTTGCCCATTCAGTATGATGTTGGCTGTGGGTTTGTCATAAATAGCTCTTATTATTTTGAGATACATCCCATCAATACCTAATTTATTGAGAGTTTTTAGCATGAAGGGCTGTTGAATTTTGTCAAAGGCCTTTTGTGCATCTATTGAGATAATCATGTGGTTTATGTCGTTGGTTCTGTTTATATGCTGGATTACACTTATTGATTTGCATATGTTGAACCAACCTTGCATCCCAGGGATGAAGCCCAGTTGATCATGGTGGATAAGCTTTTTGATGTGCTGCTGGATTCGGTTTGCCACTATTTTATTGAGGATTTTTGCATCGATGTTCATTAGGGATATTGGTCTAAAATTCTCTTTTTTTATTGTGTCTCTGCCAGGCTTTGGTATCAGGATGATGCTGGCCTCATAAAATGAGTTAGGGAGGATTCCCTCTTTTTCTATTGATTGGAGTAGTTTCAGAAGGACTGGTACCAGCTCCTCCTTGTACCTCCGGTAGAATTTGGCTGTGAATCTGTCTGGTCCTGGACTTTTTTTGGTTGGTAGGCTATTAATTACTACCTCAATTTCAGATCCTGTTATTGGTCTATTCAGGGATTCAACTTCTTTGTCGTTTAGTCTTGGGAGAGTGTATGTGTCCAGGAATTTATTCATTTCTTCTAGATTTTCTAGTTTATTTGCGTAGAGGTGTTTATAGTATTCTCTGATGGTAGTTTGTATTTCCGTGGGATTGGTGGTGATATCCCCTTTATCCTTTTTTATTGTGTCTATTTGATTCTTCTCTTTTCTTTTTTATTAGGCTTGCTGGGGTCTATCAATTTTGTTGATCTTTTCAAAAAATCAGCTGCTGCATTCAATGATATTTTTGAAGGGTTTTTTATGTCTCTATTTCATTTCTGCTACAATCTTAGTTATTTCTTGCCTTCTGCTAGCTTTTGAATGTGTTTGCTCTTGCTTGTGATGTTAGGGTGTCAATTTTAGATCTTTCCTGCTTTCTCTTGTGGGCATTTACTGCTATAAATTTCCCTCTACACACTGCTTTAAATGTGTCCCAGAGATTCTGGTATGTTGTGTCTTTGTTCTCGTTGGTTTCGAAGAACATCTTCATGTCTGCCTTCATTTCATTATGTACCCAGTAGTCATTCAGGAGCAGGTTGTTCAGTTTCCATGTAGTTGAGCGGTTTTGAGTGAGTTTCTTAATCCTGAGTTCTAATTTGATTGCACTGTGGTTTGAGAGACAGTTTGTTATAATTTCTGTTCTTCTACATTTGCTGAGGAGTGCTTTACTTCCAACTATGTGGTCAATTTTGGAATAAGTGTGATGTGGTGCTGAGAAAAATGTATATTCTGTTGATTTGGGGTGGAGAGTTCTGTAGATGTCTATTAGGTCCGCTTGGTGCAGAGCTGAGTTCAATTCCTGGATATCCTTTTTAACTTTCTGTTTTGTTGATCTGTCTAATGTTGACAGTGGGGTGTTAAAGTCTCCCATTATTATTGTGTGGGAGTCTAAGTCTCTTTGTAGGTCTCTAAGGACTTGCTTTATGAATCTGGGTGCTCCTGTATTGGGTGCATATATATTTAGGATAGTTAGCTCTTCTTGTTGAATTGATCCCTTTACCATTATGTAATGGCCTTCTTTGTCCCTTTTGATCTTTGTTGGTTTAAAGTCTGTCTTATCAGAGACTCGGATTGCAACCCCTGTCTTTTTTTGTTTTCCATTTGCTTGGTAGATCTTCCTCCATCCCTTTATCTTGAGCCTATGTGTGTCTCTGCACGTGAGATGGGTCTCCTGAATACTGCACACTGATGGGTCTTGACTCTTTATCCAATTTGCCAGTCTGTGTCTTTTAATTGGAGCATTTAGCCCATTTACATTTAAGGTTAATATTGTTATGTGTCAATTTGATTCTGTCATTATGATGTTAGATGGTTATTTTCCTTGTTAGTTGATGCAGTTTCTTCCTAGCATCAATGGTCTCTACATTTTGGCATGTTTTTGCGGTGGCTGGTACTGGTTGTTCCTTCCCATGTTTAGTGCTTCCTTCAGGAGCTCTGGTAGGGCAGGCCTGGTAGTGACAAAATCTCTCAGCATTTGCTTGTCTATAAAGGATTTTATTTCTCCTTCACTTATGAAGCTTAGTTTGGCTGGATATGAAATTCTGGGTTGAAAATTATTTTCTTTAAGAATGTTGAATATATGGCCCACACTCTCTTCTGGCTTGTAGTGTTTCTGCTGAGATATCTGCTGTTAGTCTGATGGGCTTCCCTTTGTGGGTAACCTGATGTTTCTCTCTGGCTGCCCTTAACATTTTTTCCTTCATTTCAACTTTGGTGAATCTGACAATTATGTTTCTTGGAGTTGCTCTTCTCAAAGAGTATCTTTGTGGCATTCTCTGTATTTCCTGAATTTGAATGTTGGCCTGCCTTGCTAGGTTGGGGAAGTTCTCCTGGATAATACCCTGCTGAGTGGTTTTCAACTTGGTTCCATTCTCCCCGTCACTTTCAGGTACACCAACCAGGCATAGATTTGGTCTTTTCACATAGTCCCATATTTCTTGGAGGCTTTATTCATTTCTTTTTACTCTTTTTCCCTAAACTTCTCTTCTCACTTCATTTTATTCATTTGATCTTCAATCACTGGTACTCTTTCTTCCAGTTAATCGAATCGGCTACTGAAGCTTGTGCATTCGTCATGTAGTTCTCGTGCCGTGGTTTTCAGCTCCATCAGGTCATTTAAGGACTTTTCTAAACTGGTTATTCTAGTTAGCCATTCATCTCATCTTTTTTCAAGGTTTTTAGCTTCTTTGCGATGGGTTCGACCTTCCTCCTTTAGCTCGGAGAAGTTTGATTGTCTGAAGCCTTCTGCTCTCAACCCGTCAAAGTCATTCTCCATCCAGCTTTGTTCCATTGCTGGCGAGGAGCTGCGTTCCTTTGGAGGGGGAGAGGTACTCTGATGTTTAGAATTTTCAGCTTTTCTGCTCTGTTTTTTCCCCATCTTTGTGGTTTTATCTACCTTTGGTCTTTGATAATGGTGACGTACAGATGGGGTTTTCGTGTAGATGTCCTTTCTGTTTGTTAGTCTTCCTTCTAACAGTCAGGACCCTCAGCTGCAGGTCTGTTGGAGTTTGCTGGAGGTCCACTCCAGACCCTGTTTGCCTGGCTATCACCAGCAGAGGCTGCAGAACCGTGAATATCGCTCAACAGCAAATGTTGCTGCCTGATTGTTCCTCTGGAAGCTTCGTCTCAGAGGGGCACACGGTCGGCCGTGTGAGGTGTCAGTCTGCCCCTACTGGGGTGTGCCCCCCAGTTAGGCTACTCGGAGGTCAGGGACCCACTTGAGGAGGCAGTCTGTCCATTCTCAGATCTCAAACTCCGTGCTGGGAGAACCACTACTCTCTTCGAAGCTGTCAGACAGGGACATTTAAGTCTGCAGAGGTTTCTGCTGCCTTTTGTTTGGCTATGCCCTGCCCCTAGAGGTGGAGTCTACAGAGGCAGGCAGGCCTCCTTGAGCTGTGGTGGGCTCCACCCAGTTCGAGCTTCCTGGCCGCTTTGTTTACCTACTCAAGCCTCAGCAATGGTGGGTGCCCCTCCCCCAGCCTCGCTGCTGCCTTGCAGTTTGATCTCAGACTGCTGTGCTAGCAGTGAGCAATGCTCCGTGGGTGTGGCACCGTCCAAGCCAGGCACAGGATATAATCTCCTGGTGTGCCATTTGCTAGGACCATTGGAAAAGCGCAGTATTAGGGTGGGAGTGACCCGATTTTCCAGGTGCCGTCTGTCACAGCTCCCTTGGCTAGGAAAGGGAATTCCCTGACCCCTTGCACTTCCCTGGTGAGGCGATGCCTCGCCCTGCTTCAGCTCACTCTTGGTGGGCTACACCCACTGCTCTGCACCCACTGTCCAACAAGCCCCAATGAGATGAACCTGGTACCTCAGTTGGAAATGCAGAAATCACCTGTCTTCTGCATCGCTCACACTGGGAGCTGTAGACTGGAGCTGTTCCTATTCAGCCATCTTGGAACCACCCCCCAACAATGTCCCCTTTTAATAAATATATTATTCCTAATGGAGAATACAGGAGAGAAAAAACTTATGTGAATGAATTGCTTGTGCTGCTATTATTATCAGTGGAATGGTTAAGATCAGAGGTTCTACAGACAAAATTTGTCTGTGTTCCAATCTTGGCTCTCTTTTCCTTGTTGTATAACTTTAGGCAACTTACTTAATAACTTCATTTTGCTTTAAGTTCCTCATCTATAAAATGGAGATAATAAATAAAAAGTCCCTGGCATGTAATAATCCATGCAACCAGTATTTGAGCATCTACCACGTGCAAGGCACTGTTACCTATTACTTCTACTAAGCCGAATTCAAGGGATTCTGTAATTGCTACAGCTGCACTGTGATGTAGAATTATTTTCCCTACTGGTAAAATAAAGTACTCTCAAGTACTAATAAATGGCATGAATATTTAAGTATTCCTTTATGTATTTAAATAATTAAGATTAATTATCTCATAGCCGGTAACAATAAAGGCTTTCCTATAGACCATAAGCTCCTCAAGAAAATGCACCATGTTTCATACTTAAATATCCTGTAGTACCTTAATAGATTCAAAGATCTAAGAGAAACTACAAATTATAATAAATGTAAGTAGAAAAGAGTAATGAACATGATATAAAGAAAAATGCGATTTACCTTTGTCTAATATAAAAGTTGATAAAATCAAAGATTGGATTTACTCAGGATAAAAGTAAATGGCAAAAAAAAATACTTGATGAGAGCAGTCATATCACTCAAGCATACTATTGTTAATGACACAAAGGTTCATGGTCAATTAGCAAGGTTGCTTAGAAAGTGGTATGTGTAAGTATAGTGACAGTTCAATCACTGATTGAACTAGCTACTTTACTCCATTCAAGGTAACAACCACAGCCCTTTACATCACCATGTTACACATAGATGTTTCTGATTTAAGTGTGAACAGACAAGTGCAGTTTTATTACCAATACTGCCAAAATAAAGGTTAGTAGACGGTGAGTGGTAAACATTATGTTAAATATGTTAACAGCATATTTTATGGCTAGAGAAAAACCTTCAGTGTTGTAACCAGCAGCCCTAAACTGTGAGTTTAAAATAAGTAAATTTTGAATAAGTTCAGATGCAAGTACACAGTAGAAAACAAGTATAATAAATAATTATTCAAGTCCATAGGCCAGATGGTCTTTGACTTAACTTATTGAACAAAATAACTTATTGAATTCATAATTTCCACTGTGGAAAAATATTCAAAAACATGAGATAATAATTAAAACAACTATGGATACTGAAGGATATAAAAATAAATCTAGTTGTTTCAGTAATTAACGTCTTAAAAAATTATGAAATTAATTCAAAGGTAAAATATCTGCTACAGAACCCTAAAGATTTCATCCAAATTCATATTTATAGGATGTTTGACTGATATTTATATTGTTTTCTAGTACAGAGTTTAACATGAGAATAACAAAAGGAAATCTTTTATGCTCAACTGATTTTTTTAATTTTTAATTTTTATGGGTACATAGGTGTATATATTTATGGGGTATATTAAATGTTCTGATATACGTATGCAGTGTGTAATAGTCACATCATAGAAAATGGGGTACCCATCCCCTGAAGGATTTATCGTTTGTGTTATAAAAAATCCAATTACTATTTAGTTATTTTTAAATATACAATTATCACTGACAATAATCACCCTGTTGTGCTATCAAATACTATGTCTTATTCATTCTTTCTAATTTCTTTGTACCCATTAACCACACCCATCTTCCCCCCACCCCGCCCCTCACTACATTTCCCAGGCTCTGGTAACCATCATTCTACTCTCTATCTCCATGAGTTCAATTATTTTGATTTTTAGATCCCACAAATAAATGAGAACTGTAATGTTTATCTTTCTGTGCCTGGCTTATTTCACTTAACATAATGACCTCTAGTTCTATCCATGTTTTTGCAAATGACAGTATCTTATTCTTCTTCGTGGCTGAATAGTACTCCACTGTGTATGGGTACCACATTTTCTTTATCCATTCATCTGTTGATGGACACTTGGGTTGCTTTCGAATCTTGGCTATTGTGAACAGTGCTGCAACAAACATGGGAGTGCAGATATCTCTTCAATATACTGATTTCTTTTTCTTTGGGTGTATACCCAGCAGTGGGGTTGTCAATTGAGTCTACTTTTTAAAAAAGATACTAATCATATTGGCTTTAAAATAATGTACACCTTTCTTTACACAATAGGGTTTCTAACAGCTTGCTTTAAAGGTGCTTTCTTATGCACTAAGATAAGTTTCAAAGGAAAACCAGCAATAATTCCTTGCAATTTTGATTTTCCTATATTTTTTCCTAAAGCAATATACCCCTGGATGAAATAGATATCCACATGACTTAGAAAGTAAATTATTGGATAGCGGCCAGGCACAGTGGCTCACACCTGTAATCCCAGCACTTTGGGAGGCAGAGGCAGGCGGATTACAAGGTCAGGAGATCGAGACCATCCTGGTTAACACGGTGAAACCCCGTCTCTACTAAAAATACAAAAAATTAGCCCGGCGTGGTGGCCGGTGCCTGTAGTCCCAGCTACTCAGGAGGCTGAGGCAGGAGAATGGCGTGAACCTGGGGGGCGGAGCTTGCAGTGAGCCAAGATTGCACCACTGCACTCCAGCCTGGGCAACAGAGCAAGGCTCTGTCTCAAAAAAAAAAAAAAAAATTATTGATAGCTTGTTTTACACTAGTGATCTGTTCTAGGTTCACTCCTAAAACGCAATGTCCTATTGATAACAGGTATATGGGTAAAACTTATATTTGGATAAAATGGCTTTTAATTCTCTACATAAAGATTGGTTTTCTAAAAGTTTTTTCCTCTTCAAGATTACAAAATGCGACAAATGTCTATGTTTTTCTACATTTTTCAACAATTGAAAACATGGAGCTGTTATAATCAGCTAAGTCTTGTAGGAGATACTCTAAAATGCATCAATTCCTATTACAATTATTGCTATAAGACAATAGGGAGGCGGGGAGGAGAAGGGTATAGAAAATCAGTATATGACTGACAAAAGTAAAAACTAGTAATTTCTTACATCTTTCTTTTTCTTTTATATATTAATTACTTAATCTCAAGAGCATAATAAATTAAAATCAGAGACCTCAGGAAAAGATCTTCCACTGAAAAACATGCTTTTGATTTTATAGACTTTATAAGCCTTTAAATATCCTGAACTTTTAGTACACTGTCTGTTTTCTAACCATTTTATTCAAAGCTATTAGTGCAGCAAATAAACAGCAATGCTTTGATCTCATTAAATTACAACTTATAGTTCCTGCAGTCATAAATATTGCGCTCTTTTCTCCTTCACCCCTCCCTTTCTGGTATGGGGTAGTCTGTTTAATATCACTATCTCCTTGAGTGCTCTGACATTTACTCAGACAAACAGCAGAGGTTATGAATGCTGCTCATAGATAGTATCAGGAATTCTTCATGATTGCCATAATGGTGAACTCAGCATTCAGAATGGTAATACCTAGTTTTTATCTAACCACTAAGTTTGGTCTGTTTAACTTTGCTCCAAAAAAAAAAAAAAAAAAAGAAATTCCATCTTATCACAAACCAATAACAACTGTTCTGGACAAAATCATAGAACAGTATAATAAAAATGGAAATTGTCTTTGGGAGAATTAGTGATTAGAAGTTTTAAATAAGTGATATAACCAATGTTATAAAATTTGATTCTCTTCTGAAAGTTAACAAAAAAACAAGCTTTTCCCAAAGTTAAAAATCAAAGCTACATAAGACACATAAAATTTAAAATTAGTGTACTTAGAATGTCTACAATATTAAAAACTGGCTCTGAATATGTATTTTAAAATTCTCACCCTTTCAGTTACTTGAACTTTGAAGTCGCAAAGGTAATTAAATTTTCTCACTTTACCCTTCTATAACAGTCTGTCTTCCAAGAACAACTTTGCAGCATGAACACTGACACTAATAGTTTCTAGAGTGACAGAGGCCACTACTGCATGACATGTTAGTACATTTAGGTAGCCCTAGCCTAGGCCCCAAGACCTGAGAGAAAGAGGCTAGTGTTCTCATGAGCAACACCATTCTTCTCACGCATAGAAAGACATTCTGCGCCTTCTTACATAAATCCACTAAGGGTATCTCTCCATGAATCTACATGAGCCTCATCTACATCCATAGGTCAGAGTCTTAAATTGTGCATTAGAAATATAATAGGCAGGCCAGGCATGGTGACTCAAACCTGTAATCCCAGAACTTTGGGCGGGCAGATCACTTGAGGTCAGGAGTTTGAGAACAGCCTGGCCAAGACAGTGAAACCCCGTCTCTACTAAAAATACAAAAATTAGCTAGGCATGGTGGTGCATGCCTGTAGTCCCAGCTACTTGGGAGGCTGAGGCAGGAGAATGGCTTGAACCCAGGAGGCAGAGGTTGCAATGAGCCGAGATTGCGCCATTGCATTCCAGCCTGGGCAACAGAGCAAGACTCTGTCGAAAGAAAAAAGAAATATAATAGTCTATTATGTTACAATGAAACATCTGTTTTCATTTAATGCAAAAAATTAGTACAGAATTTATGAGGCATATTTTCATAAGAATGCATAAACTAATTGTATAAAGGCTTATTAATATTTTAATCACCAAATTAATATGAATGTTATTTAATTACTAAAGTCATTGTTAAAAATATTAACACATAAATGAACCAAAGAGACATCAATGAAAATGTGTTTATTCACACCTACTGATTTAATAGTTATTTATATTTGTATTTGAAGTTTATACTGATAGAAATGAGTGGTCCTTTTAATAATTCTTACTTGGGATTCCAAACAGATTTTTTAAATTATAGCTTTTTCTCTTTATATTAAAAAGAGCCACCTCTAATTTTCGAGGATGTATCTAAAAAGAAATGTTTTCTACATATATATTAATTGTACTCTTAAGTAGTTTGCTAAATAGACAGACTTTTAAGGGCCAGAAACATGATTATCACCACCCATCCTAATGTTCTGTACTGAAATACACCTATGCTTTTACTTTCTGATCCCTCAGGTATAAGAATGAAGTCCAAGGAATATATAACCAATTTATTGGCAGTTGTAACAGTGAAGATATACATATCACAGTCAATAGTATTATAATATTAATGGTCTTCAAACTCTGGCTTAGCATTTAGAAGGTACTGCTATCCAAAATATATAAAGAACTCTTAAAACTCAACAATAAGAAAACAAACAACCCAATTAAAAAATGGGCCCAAGGCCTGAACAGACACTTTAACAAAAAATACACACAGATGACAAGTAGGTATATGAAAATATGTTCAACATCATATGTCATTAGGGAATTGCAAATCAAAACAAGATACCACTACACACCAATCAAAATGACCAACATCCAAAACACTGACAACACCAAATGCTAGTGAGGATGTGATAGTGGGAGAGGTTGTGCATGTGTGAGGACAGGAAGTATACAGGAACTCTGTACTTTCTATTCAGTTTTGCTGTGAACCTAAAACTGCTCTAAAAATAGTTTATTAATTAAAATATATTAAATTATATTAAAATAGTGAAAGTCTATGTATATATAAAGGTATAAATGCTTCAATTTTTGGTATTTTTTTCCTTTTAAAAATAGGATCCTTTAGCGTCAAGATGACAACATTGACCCAAATTAGTATTCATTTCATTCATATTCATTTATCCCTTGAGTCCAAAATATACAACTAAAAAATATAGGTGAGGTTTAGAGTGCAATCTTTGACTGTGAAACAACTTTCTCTGTACTGAATCAACTAGCCTATACAAAATTGAATTCCTAACTTTGGCCTCACTAATGTTTTACCCTAAACAAGTGTATGTCAGAATCCCAACGGAAACAGATGGCAAACATCAACTAGGATAACCTGAAGATGGGTTTATTTGCAAAGGTGCACGAAGGATATAAAAGAACCACAAGGGATGGCTCAAGTTCCACTGACTAGCAGCACTGTAGCTGTCACCACCTCTAGACCCAGAAGGTCAAGAAGAGAGGTTACTGGAACCCCAAAAGGGAGAGTATCATGTAGATTACGCCAATTTGAGAGAAGTAGTGATCTGTTGAGGCACATGGCCAGCCTGAAGTTATCTCAGAGGGAAGGAACAGGGGGAATAAATACCCTGATTCACTCTCTTCTTCCTCCCATCTCCTGCCTAGGCTCTCCACTGGCCCAGCTCAACAGGAAGTCAGAAGACGTGGAAGCCCATTGATGCAACCCATATACATAAGCCTTCAAAAGGTAAGTATAGATCTGGAGGGGCAAACAGAAGATTTTTTTGCATGCCAATATAATAAATAACTACAAATTAAGTGCATTTTAAATGGTACTCAGTAAATATTGTTTCAAAATATTTATGGAGTGCCAGTAAGCATAGGTACTTAATTCTCTCAGAGGTAGGGAGGTGGTCCTAAAATGATTCAAAGCAGTATCGAGAGAGGGATTGGAAGGGAGTGGGAAAAGGAAAACAGATATCATTCTCTACAGAAAGAACAAAGCCTTACCTACTTCTTCCTCTTGTACCAACTCTCCCTTTGTGTCAGTTGGAATATTTTTAGTTGCAAATCATGGAAAACTGAATTGGCCCTAACCAACCTGGCTTAAATAATGGGAACTTATTGGTTCACATAATTTAAATGTCTAGAGGTAGGACAAGAAGCAGGGTTGGTTGATCCAGTTACTCAATAATGTCATCAAAGAACAGGTTTCTTTATGTCATACCAATCTGGCATCCACATTGTCAGGTTCCTATTTTTTGGCTTTTCTCAGCCTATTGTAGGCTGACTGCCAGCCACAATAGAGGTTATGTTCTTCCTGGTTTATAATCAGAAGCTAGCTAAAGTCATTTATCTATACCTGAACCAATGCCTATGGTCAGAAGAAAGAAATATGTTTGTGTTCTCCTGCCAATTTGGGGCTCAGCTCTAAAGCTGGAGACATCAAAACAAAAATCTAGATAAGGTTAGGAAGAAGGCAAGCGGATACTGAATCTCAGTAAGCAACAAATAAATGTTCGATTCACAGCTTCATTCATGATGCTCCAGCCATATCAGACTTTTTTTAGTTCCTCAAATATACTAAACTCTTTCCTGTCTCAAAGCTTTTGCACATGCTATTCCCCTTGCCTGAAACATTACTCCCTTCCCTCCTTCACCCTCTTACCCCCAATCTAATAAAGTCACCTGTGATGTCATCACATCTTTCACTTTTTCTTCTGCTCATTTATAATAGTTTTACATTATTTAGTCTGTGTAATTATTTGTTTTACATCTAACTCCACCACCAGACTCTAACTTTCGTAAAAGTAGAAACATGTTTTATTTTCTTCATAGCTGTATCCTTAGTGCCACATAGCACCCAGTATATAAAAGTCACTCAATAAATATTGAATGAATGGTGCTAATAAGGATGACATACAATGAATCCTTATAAGGTATTCATGTGATCATAAAAATGCATGCTACTGGTCACAAGTCAAAGAAATAATATTTTGAATGGATTGCAACAAATGCACTAATTACCTTTACTGGAATCATAACTCAAAATTTATGCATCTGTATTGAAAACAATTTATCCTCTACCAAAAAATTCTACCCAACTGTCCTCTAGTAATAGCGCATAAGACTATTTTATATTATAATTTTTACTTAGTAGTGTGAAACTGTATCAATCATACCTTCTTTAAACTGCATATTTCAGCTTCTTGTTTTTTATTTAAAGCTGAAAGTCTTTTGTTTGATTGTATTGCTTCCCGTACTGCAACATGAAAGACATTTAAGAAAGCATTATATTCAATGTATATTTCAAAGAAAGTATCATTAAGATAAACAGGGAAAACAGTAACAATGCAATATATATGTTATTTAATTTAGGTAACAGTTATTAACTGCCATTTACTATTATCAGTATTATCATAGATATTCAATGTATTCATAGTAAATAAGTCCATTCAAACATTCTCTACTGAATATGTATATTTAAATAAGATAGCACATACCATTTTGTTCTAACTTTTCATGATTCTCTTTTACCAATCCAAATTGACCTGTTATTGTGGCATAATATTTCTCAATTTCACTCAGTTGCTTATGATAGTCTTCTTTAGCCAGAAGATGTAACTGGACCTTTTGTTCCTATTTTGAAGAGTAATTTTAAATGTTATACATATAACACACACACATCGCCACACACAACAAATATGTAAAATATATTGTGGTAAACCACTGTTGTTAGTAATATAACATAAATAAATGTCATTTAAAAGTACTCTCTGAGTAAACTGTAAGGAGGAAATATTTGTTAGGAGATATTTCTAAATCTATGTAAAACTAAAGCAAACATATTTTTCCTGTAGCAAAATAGTCACTTCAGGTTATGTTTCCCTTGTTTGCAATTTCTTTTTCAAAATATTTTTATAAAAAATGTTAATCAGCCTAACACTAAGAAAAGTGAGGAGAAAAAGCAATACTTTTGGTACTTTACGAGGTATTTTTTCTCTAAATCATTTGAATAATCAGGACCTATCTAGATCACTGTTTTGATTCTTTGCCCTTTCAATTTGCTAGAATAATTTCAATGTACACTACCAAAATTCAAGTAATTTTTCTGAGACTGATTTTAATTAATATAGTACCTTCTCACTGCATTAAGAAATGAAATGATGAGGCAGGAAGAATGCTTGAGGCCAGGAGTTTGAGACCAGCCTAGGCAATATAGCAAGACCCCATCTCTACAAAAATAAAACAAGTTATCTGGGCATGGTGGCACATGCCTGTAGTCCTAGCTACTTGGGAAGTTGAGGTGGGAGGATTGCTTGAGGCTAGGAGTTTAAGGCTGCAGTGAGCTATGCTCAGCCGCTGAACTCCAGCCCAGGTGACAAAGCAAGACCCCATCGCTAAAAGAGAAAAAGAAATGAAATGACAAGGATATCTCTCAGTGACAGGGAGGCAACATATGATAGTAGATAGTCTACTTAAACTGGAGACATAATTGGTAAAAATTAGACCTTACTTATATAATATTATATGGGCCTCTACTGCTTTCAGCTAAAGGAACTACTCTTACCATACCTGCGATATGACTTTTAACTCTTAAAAAATATTATGTTAATAAAATCAATAACACTTGTTAGAAGTTTTTTATCTTCACTTGACATTAGCAGAATCATTAATTGGTTTCACAACTTTCATTCATTTTTTTTCCCAACTGCTTCACTTTCTATGATGAGCAGTTCTAAACAAAGAACAGTATAGGCCCATGAACTGGCACTCAATAATTGTTTTCTGAATGAACTGTTGTTGTCTTATAGAGTTTTAATAGTAAAAATTTGATTTTGCCTAGCCAGCATCCATTTCCCTTACCTAACAGCACCACTATTTACTTTATTGAAATACTTTTTCTTCATTACAACATGGACTAAACTTCATTACAACATGGACTAAACATTACAACAGGACTAAAATTCAGGGGTCCTATTCTTCCCTAATTAACAGAAGGGCATATTACTCAAAATAAACCAATTGATAGCTACTTTCTTGGAATTTGAATCTTGAGCAAAAAGACTATCTAAAACTAGAGAAGTTCAGTAGTGATCCTATCTGAACTGATATGAGACCTCTGTTGTGGGTCCCTACATCCTGCCTCACAAACTCTGGAATTACTCTGGGTCCCCTGTTCATTCTCAAGCAATTCTTTATTCTCTGGTTGATTGTGAATGCCTCCCCTAAATTTCCTTTTACATAAGTTAACCAGAGCCATTTCTTATTGCTTAAAACCAAAGTACAGGCCAGGCGCAGTGGCTCACACCTGTAATTCCAGCACTTTGGGAGGATAAGGCGGGTAGATCACAAGGTCAGGAGTTCGTGACCATCCTGACCAACATGGTGAAACCCCGTCTCTACTAAAAATACAAAAATTAGCCGGGCATGGTGATGCGCGCCTGTAATCCCAGCTACTCAGGAGGCTGAGACAGGAGAATCATTTGAACCCAGGAGGCAGAGGTTGCAGTGAACCAAGATCGTGACACTGCACTCCAGCCTAGGCAAACAAAAGAGCAAGATTCCATCTCAAAAAAAAAAAAAAAAAAAAAAAACCCACAACCAAAGTACAGGCCGAGCACAGTGGCTCAGGCCTGTAATCCCAGCACTTTGGGAGGTGGAGGCAGGCAGATCATTTGAAGTCAGGAGTTCGAGACCAGCCTGGCCAACATAGTGAAACCCTGTCTCTACTAAAAATACAAAAATTAGCCAGATGTGGCAGCGGGCACCTGTAATCCCAGCTACCTGGAAGGCTGAGGCAGCAGAATCACTTGAACCCTGGGGGCAAAGGTTGCAGTGAGCTAAGATTGCACCACTGCACTCCAGCCTGGGCACTAGAGTGAGACTCCGTCTCAAAATAAAAAAAGAAAAGAAAAACCAAAGTACAGGTAGTAGAGCACAGTGGTCAAAAGCTAGTCTGCCTATGTTTACATCTTGTTTCTGCAACTTAGGGTGACCTTGGGTAAATTATCTACCCTATTTTTAGGAAGAAGTTTATAATAGTATTTCACTCATAAGGTTGCTGTGAGGATAAAATGAATTAATATAAATAAAGCACTAAAAAGCAAAGCCCATCATATAAAAATCACAATAAAATGATTGTTATTATTCCTTAACTGGTAGTTTTAATTAACTTTTATTTAGAATAAGCATGGCCTTTTAAAAAATATTCACGAAGGGCTGGGTCATGGTGGCTCACGTCTGTAATCCCAGCACTTTGGGAGGCCAAGGTGGACGGATCACAAGGTCAGGAGTTCGAGACCAGCCTGGCCAACATGGTGAAACCTGTCTCTACTAAAAATACAAAAATTAGCCAGGCATGGTGGCACACACCTGTAATCTCGGCTACTGGGGAGGCTGAGGCAGGAGAATCACTTAAATCCAGGAGGCAGAGGTTGCAGTGAGCTGAGATCACGCCACTGCACTCTAGCCTGGGTGACAGAGCAAGGCTCCGTCACAAAAAAAAAAAAAAAATATATATATATACACACACACACAGACACACACACGAAGAACACACATTACAATTTAAGTTGTACCTAACTATATTATCTTGGCAAGTCTGATGACAGTCTTAACTTTTTCAAAGCTATTTTTTAATGATTTTAAACATGATATATTATTGGTAATAATTATGATATATCAGTTGAAAATTTCTCATGTATGTCATCAGGCTTTTAACTACTTATTTAATTGTGCAGCAGTTATCAATGCAAACAAGTTGATAAATGTACTTAGTCCTGGAGAGCTTATGCCTACCTGGGTAGTTACTATTATTAGTAATGGTGAGCAATAATGAACCATATTGCTTTCTTCTAAAATACCCCTTAATTTCTGATTGAGAGAATTATATTAGCTCTCAGCAGATGTCTAGAAACCTAACACAATTTCACTGAAAACTGGGTTAATGGCATTTTTTCAATTCAAGGAAGTTTTTATTTTTTATTTATTTTTTTGGAGATGGAGTCTCTCTCTGTCACCCAGGGTGGAGTGCTGTGGCACGATCTCGGCTCACTGCAACCTCCACCTCCCAGGTTCAGGCAATTCTCCTGCCTCAGCCTCCCGAGTAGCTAGGACTACAGGTGCGCACCACCACACCCAGCTAATTTTTTGTATTTTAATAGAGACGGGGTTTCACTGTGTTGCCCAGGCTGGCCTCGAACTCCTGAACCCAGGCAATCCACCCGCCTTGGCCTCCCAAAGTGCTAGGATTACAGGTGTGAGCCACTGTGCCCGGCCAATTCAAGGAAGTTTTGATTTTTGATTCTAATCAATATTTACGTAGCCTTCATTAGAATACTCTCTACTGCATAATACATGATCCCACAAAAGCTTTCTTAACCTTTCAGCTAAAAAGTGATGAATAAAATAGGTAGTCAATGCCTACAAAGGTTAACAATTCTGTTAACTAAAAATGTAGCAAAGATCAAAGGAGATTTCATGCATAGAGCTTTATATACATTAGAGTAATTTCTGATACACTCTTCCAACATTCTTTGGGGCAAAAATTGAATTTAATGAAAATGCAGTTTCATTGCATTTGTTTGCATGACATAATTCTGATTTTCAAACACATTAGCCTATTCAATGGCCATGATATATAACATTAAGACTTCTAAATCACATAGGCACCTACAGCATATTAGCCCATATATGCCTATATGAACGTAGTTTACTACCCTGATTTAGTTTTGAAAATGAGATGAAGAGGTCCATTGTCCAGTTTGCCACTAATTTCATGACTATCAACAAATGGTTTAAATTCTCTGAAAAGCAACAACAAAAAGTAAGTGGTAATAACACTTTAGAGATGTAAGAATATTTTAAAGAATACAAATAAATTGATTTTTACTATTAAAACTTTAATGTATTATAAGGCTATTTTATTGAGATGATTAAGAAATAGTTAAGTACATATTGTTTGGTTTTTCTATCTGCATGAATCGACTCAAATTATTTTTTCTTTTACGTAGTTTTACTATCAAATGCAAACACAGTCTACAAAAAATGTCAGCATTCATTGCTTCCTAAACACATGTACACCTCATTTTAAACAAATCTAATCTATGAAAGTCAAGATTAGCGGAAAAATAGCATATCCATAATTATATGTATGTGTGTAGTCTAAAAGCTTACTTTAAAGCCTTGAAGCATTTAAAATGGGAATAATGTAAAAATATTTACACACAACTTTTTAGAAATATATTTACTGATAAAATGCACAGCTTCACATTTCTCCCTTTTCCTATTTACTTAAGGAGACTGATTTGAAAACTTCTGGAGATAAAATTAGTTTCCCTTAAAACAATCAGTTTGTTAAGAGTAAACTTTAGAGGAAAAGATAACAATCAAAATATAAATTTAACACACTCATTTACAATTTTGTAACTAATCTTCTAATTTCTTCAATATGAACCCAAACTAAATCAATGGAGTTATAAAACTCAATTTTCAAAAATCTATGGCATCTTTCTTAAGATATCCTTACCTTTTCAGTTGCAAATATGAGGCATAGATTACTTTAAAAACCTAAAGTCATGCTGCTAATATATGTGTGTACATATATACATAATATTTATGATTATGAAGTTACTTCCAGATAAGTCTTCAGTTTAAAAATATTCTACTGGGAAAGAAAGTATGTGGTTATTCTTAATCTATCAAAACTTTCAATATTGAAATTGCTTTAACTTCATAAAGAAAAAGGCTTTCTTGTAAATCTTTTATTTAGAGGAAAATGATATACAGAAGAGAAAAACAATACGACAATGGTTTGATAAGTTTACTTCCTTCATTAAGCTATATTAGCTATTCAGTTTTACAACACAGACACCGATAAATTCAATTATTACCCAACATGGTCATCTATGTAGTAATCACTAAACACAGCAGGAAAAATTTGTATCAATGACCAGATCACAATGATGGTGAATGTAATGTCCTAAGATTTCTCTCTCACATGTTTTTATTGCATCCTTTTAATTGGTAATGATCGTGATTTTTTCAAAGGGGAGGTACTTTTAGGGATGGAAAAATCGTTTGATTTGTGATTATGTTAATTTATCTCAGAACCTATCACCACCTCTAAAAGAAAATCAGCTTACTGAATCACAGAAGACAGAAACTTACTAGTAGTTAAGGACTTACCTATAGGAGCTCATAAACTTGAAATTTTCTTAATAGTATTTTTCAAGTTATTTCTTTTAGGACCCTAACTTTATTGCTCCCCAAAGTCGTGCCTTCACACTAGTGGCTATCTTGTTTCCTGTCTTGCCCATAGAACCAAATAACATAAAAGAATAATGTACTGCTTGGAATAAAATAAGATTAACTGAATTACTGAATACTATACCGCACTTTGAATAAAGAACAAGTCATCTGAATTATATAATAATAATGTAACAGGAATAATGTAAAATGAATATAAGTAAGAATGCTTAGAAAAAGGGGTACTTCTAACTTTTAAATCCAAAATATAAATGTTCTGCCAGAATGAATATAAAATATTAAATATATATACCAACATATAAAACTTTTTAAATTAAAAGTGATGCAATGCTTTAAACTGTCAGAAAAAATATTATGACTATAACTGAAATATCATTTTAGTAAGTATAAATGTTGTAATTCACAATAACAAAAAGCTTAGAAGTGACCAAAAACTAGAATAAGTATATACATGTTTCCATGTTTTTTTTTAAAGATTGTAAGTATCTGTTTGATGAAATTTGAAAGTGGAATAAAATAAAACACATTTTATGTTGCCTTTGATCTTTAACTTGTAGCCTTATCTCCCAGGTCAAAGGGCACATTATTCAATTTCACTATATTTTGTGTAAAACCACTGTAGCGTTGAAGATGACTTTCAGTACAAATGTCATGGTACTTAAAGCTAAACCAGAATCTAGTTTTTCAGCTTCTTAATTAAAATCATGGTTTAAAATAGTCTGACAATATTATTTTTATTCTTTCCAGTTGAATAGCAACAGAATTTTCACATCTTTTATTCAATCAAGCTTAGCAGTCTATGACTCTTATTTTCTAACACACCAAACAATTTCAAGAAGCAAAATACTTTATGTTTTTCTATGTAATGTCAGAAGGGGTGATAGTTCATTTCTTACTTCTCATGTATATAATATATAAGCCTTACTCAAAAATTAATTTTACTTGCTTTACAGTCTGCTCCAAAGAATGAAGACTGAATAGCATAGCCCCACCCAAAAAGCCCTTTGACAATTTGAGTGGATATAGGAAAATTTTGCTCAACCAAAAACACAGAAAAAAAAATCCTTCTGAATAAAATAGAGCTAGAAGGGAAAAATATCAAAGTAAATATTCCCTAAAATGTTATGCTGTAAAAAGCAAAAACATTAGTTTTTAACAGACTATAAAAGAGGAATGCACAGTAAATAAATATTTGTTGAACAATATAGGATCAGTACCATATCCCAAGTGTACACTGATAAGGGATAAATATTATATCCTAAATACTACTTCATACATTTCAATTTTTTCACACTATAATTAATAATTACATGTTTACATAAATATCTAGAAAAGATACCATTAAAATAAGAGGTTTTAGAGTTTTGTTATTTGTTTTTACTATAAGACCCTAACAATAATTTGGGAACTGTGTAAAATTTATTTTAAACATATAGGTTGAATATCTCTAATCAGAAATGCTGGGACCAGAAGTGTTTCATATTTGGGATATTTTGGGATTTTGGAATATTTGCATTATACCTACGGGTTAAGCATCTCAAATGCAAAAATCTAAAGTCCAAAATACTCCAATGAGCATTTTCTTAGAGCATCATGTTGACACTCAAAAAGTTTCCAATTTTGAAGCATTTCAAATTTTGAGTTTTCAGATTTGGGATGCTCAACCTGTATAAGTACTATGTAATCTCGAAATAAATTTGTGAAATAATTCATTTATGCAACATGTGAAATTGCAAATATCCCCTTTCATATTACTGGAGACAGTAATATTCAGTTTCAACAATTAATTTTTTCACTATAAATGTCACATTTTATTCCCAAAAACACCAATCCCCCTAAGTACTAATCCAGATGGGGGAAAATATGTTTTGTAATTTCCTTACCATTTCACTCACTTTCTTCTGTAAAGAGTATTTAGAAACCTTGAAAAATAAGGGGGAAAAATCTCATTAAAATACTTTAATTATCTACACAAATTCCTCTGATATCAAAAGTGCGTGCTATAAAATGTGGCATGTATCTTCTATGTACCATTATTGATTTATTCAACACACATTTATGGCACCTACTATATGCTAGATACTTTCCTAGACTCCTGGAATATAGCAGTGAACAAAACAAAGTCCCTGCCCTTAAGAAACTTACTTTCTAGTGGGGGTGGTGATAGACTGACAAATATAAGTAAAAGGTATGCATGTTAGAGAGTGATAACCACTAAGACAAAAATAAAGCAAGAGAGATAGAGAGAGCAGTCTAGGGGAGTTTGTTACTTCATATTAGCCCTTCACTGAGGAAAAGTTTTTAAAGAACAAGCATAACAACTGTTTTAAACAAACAGATCATCTCACAATCCACAGATAACAGTCATTAACACTTTGGTACTACCAGGTTTTGTTTGTTTGTTTGTTTGTTTTTAAGATACAGTCACACTGTTACCCAAGCTGGAATACACTAGGATGATCACAGCTCACTGCAGCATTAACTTCCTGGGCTCAAGCAATCCTCCTGCTACCTCAGCCTCCTAAGTAGCTGGGTACTATAGGAACATGCCACCACACCTGGCTAATTTTTAAAATTTTTTCTAGAGACAGGGTCCCACTATGTTGCCCAAGCTGGTCTTGAACTCCTGGGCTCAAGAGATCCTCCAGCCTTGCCCTCTTATAGTGCTGAGATTACAGGTGTAAGCCACCATGCCCCACTCTACCAGGTTTTTAAAAACATACATTTATACTTTAAAAAAGAGCCAGTAGAAACTGATAATAAACGTCTATTTTATAATCCATTTTACTTAATATATAATAAACACTTTTCTGTGACAAATTAATGTACAATATAGCTTTTTAATGGCTACACAGTATTCCATTTTTTAACTTTACCATAACTTACCTAATCACTCATGTTTATAGGTTTACTGAATTGAGTCTTTTACTATTATGAAATATTCTGAAATAAACATGCTTGTATCTAGACTTTTAAAGTTATTCTTTTTATTAGGATAAGTTCCAAGAAGCAGAATTTCTAAGATTTGTTAATTTTTATAGGCTTTTTTAAACTGTTACAAAAGCCAGGCCTGTAATTCCAGCACTTTAGGAGGCTGAGGCTGTTGGATTGCTTGAGTCCAGGAGTTCAAAACCAACCTGGGCAACATGGTGAAAGTCTGAAAACAAACAAGCGAAACTTAGCTGGGTACGCTGGTGTGTGCCTGTGATCCCAGCTACTCGGGAGGCTGAGGCCAGGATGACTGCTTGAGCCCGGGGGGTGGAGGTTGCAGTGAATTGAGACTGCGCCAGTGCACTCCAGCCTGAGTGACAGAATGAGACTCTGTCAAAAAAAATATATATATATAGTGGCTGACCAAGTTAAATGCCAACCAGCCATGTATGAGTGTTCATCTTCTTAAATCCTACTTATATTTTTTAAACTTTAAGCAAAAGTACAATAATTACTACACATTTCCTATGAAATAAATTTTTTAGCCTACTGCCATGAATGAGCTGATTTTATTTTATTTTATTTTAATGGATGGGTTGTATATGATTTATTTCTTCCATAAATGTTGAATGCTTATTGTAAGTAAAGCATTGATATAGACATTGGGGGTACAACACTGGACCAAAAAAAAAAAAAAAAAAAAACTCCTGCCCAGCTTAAATTCTGGGCAAGAAAATCAGCAATATAAGTTAAAATATATAGTATATTAGATATTGATAGGTGTTAAAGAAAAACGATAAATCAGGGAAGACGATTACACAGGACAGTCAGGAAACTCCTTTCTGAGATAGCAAATTCTGAGTAAAGACCTGGATAGAAGTAAGAAAGAATATTTCAGCAAGTTCCCTAATGTGGAATAAGGCCTAGTGTGTTTAAAGAATAGCAAGGAAGTCCATGTGGCTGAAAGACAATAAGCAAGGTGAAGAAGAGCAGTTCAGAGAGGGGCAAGGGAAGGCAAGGGGACCCAAATCATTGTAGACCTCGTTATGTGTGATATGGATTTGGTTTTTACAACTAATGAGATGGAAAGCCACTACAGAGTTCTGAGGACGAATGTGACAAAGCCTGACTTAGCTTTTTTTTTTTTTTTTTTTTTTGAGATGGAGTCTTGCTCTGTCACCAGGTTGGAGTGCAGTGGTGCGATCTCAGCTCACTGCAACCTCTGCCTCCCAGGTTCAAGCAATTCTCCTGCCTCAGCCTCCCGAGTAGCTGGGACTACAGGTGTGTGCCACCACGCCTGGCTAATTTTTATATTTTTAGTAGAGACAGGGTTTCACCATGTTAGCCAGGATGGTCTCGATCTCTTGACCTCGTGATCTGCCTGCCTCAGCCTCCCAAAGTGCTGGGATTAGAGGCGTGAGCCACCGCGCCAGGCCCTGACTTAGCTTTTTAAAGACTCACTCTATTACATTCACATTAGAAGGGAACAGAGTTTGTGGCAAGAGAAACCACTTAATAAGCTACTGCAATAATCCAGATGAAAGAGGATGATGAAGGAGGACTAGGGTGTTAGTAGTGGATGAAATAAGAAGTGGTTGGATGCTAGATACACTCTGAGGGAAAGCCAAAAAAAAAAAAAAAAAAAAAACCAGTAACTGGAAAAAGAGAGTTGTCATTAACAAGGATGGAAAAGATTAAATAAGCCAGTTTTCAGGAGGCAGGATTTTAGAAACTTAATTTTAAACATGTCAAGTTTGAGGTGTCTTTTAGAGATCCAAGCAGAGATGGCAAATAGTTAATGTAGGATGGATTAGGGGTTAGGAGATGTACATTTAGAAGTCTTCTGTATGTAGATACCATTTTAAAGACACGAGCCTGGATGAGATCAGAGTACTTTTTAAGGCATTCAGCACAAAAGCAAAGGGAAATGTTTTGAGGTCATCTAGAAAAATAAGAGGAAAAAAATGAAAAGACAAAATTCAGAAGACAATGTATTACTCTAATCCTGAATTTATTATCTGCTACCATCAGTCAAAGATAAAACTACATCTAGAGCAAATTTACCACATTATTTCAGGCCACCGTTCTTCACACACCTTATTATCTCTGCATTTTATTCTTTCTCAATTACAATCCACAGCTATATTTTATCAATACCTCTAGAGCATTGCCCAACTAATAAACTCCCACATAGCTGCATTTCTGACACATAGATGAATTTGAAAATATAATTGGATTGACATGTAGTGTTTTTATAGTTGCTATATTTAATATTTTAATTATTTAAAAATTGGTTAATATCACATATAGGCATACTTCTAATATCAGAACAAAACTATACTGATGCTAATGCATTAACTATAGAAGGCAGCTTCAAAAATAAAATGCAAATGTTTTCCTATTATAGTTATCCTTCACTTTATGGAAAATTATAAGAAAAGCTGACTGAAAAGCACACCGCTTTAGAGAAAAAAATCTTATTTTCCCATTAATTTTCCATTTATTGAATTTATTTTAGTTGGGAATAAAGTCCCCCAAATACTGTGCTTAAAACATTTAACCCCTTCCTCTTCTTAAACAGTTCAGCTCTGAAGTCCATTAGGTTAGGTACAATAAGGTATGTGAGGAAGTGGTGAGGGGGTTGTGTCTAGAGCATTCCGGAACAGAATAACAGGCCTGAATGGAGAAAAGAGGATTTTCCCATGTAAGGGAGGGCAGTCTACTGTGGGGAGTCAGAAACTAAGTAAGGTGAGGAGGGTGACCCTGCAAAAGGGCAACCCAGCTGAAGGTGTCAGAATCCAAGCAGGAAAAGGAGGACATCCACATAAGGAAAGAGGGGGCAGCAGAATGGTGGACTGGTTATGTAACAGGGTGTTTTATGAAATAAGTCAACGTCTTAGTGATAATGAAAGTCAGATTTCTCATTGAAAGATAAGAAAAGTATAAATAAAGGAAATAAACTAAAATAATCCTTGTAGTTTGGGATTGTAATTTGCAGCAGTGCAAATTAATGGTTTTCAATATACATACATAGATTGATATAAAAATACATATAACTGTAAGTATATGTGTGTATGTGTATATGTATGTAAATATATACATATATTTCCTAGCTCTGTCGACTGAGGGGGTGTGAGAACAATGACACTCCAACAGCAATAATTGCAATAGCACTCAGATCTTGGTTTCTATATACCTTTTTCTACTAACAGGAACCAGGGTAACATGGAGAAATGGTTTTTTCCAGGGCAAGATCAGGTAAAGTATGAGGTGATCCTGGTACATTTTATTTTTATCTGAAAGCAGAAAAATGCTGAAAGAATGATGAAGACATGTCAAAAAATACTCAGCAACCAGCTTGAATGGACTCCCACTGGCCAAACCAAGAATAATTTGATAAAAATAAATGATAGTCAAATATTTTAATCCATTGTACAAAACAGGAAACTATGAGTCTATATTGATATAAATAAATATATTAAAAGTTTGGTGAGAAATGACATATTTACATAGTTTCAAAGTTCTCTTCACAAAACACGCTGATTACAAAGGAGAAAAGATTAACTTTACAGTGGAGAAACTTGTCAGATACTACCTCAGTCAAATTATCAGAGTGAACATCGCCAATAATAAAACAAATTGAACTATCTGATAGGATTCAATAAGAAGAATATGGCATTACCTCTGTGATATTCCTTCCAGAGATACATAAACTGAATCTAACCATGAGGAAACATTGTACAAACAGAAACTGAGGAACGTTCTACAAAATAATGGTCTGTAATCTTCAAGAGTGTCAAAGTTATAAAATTCAACCAAAGACTAGGAAAGTCTTCCAGACTGAAAGAGATTAAAGAGCTATGACAACTAAATACAAACATAGGATTCTAAACTAGATCCTTTTGTTATAAAAATACTTTAATGGGACAATTTGTGAAACTGAATGAGTCCTGAACATTCCAGTTATGTACCAATGTTAACTTCCTGATTTTGATTGCTGTGTTATGGTTTTACAGGAGAATGTCCCTGATTGTAAGAATGATATACTATGGTAATGAGATGATAGAGCATCAGTTTGGCAAATTATTCTAAAATCATTCAGGAAAATAAGTTCTTTGTATTGTAGTTCCAATATCTCTAAAAGTTTATGATACTTTCAAAAGAAAAAAACTTAAGTGATTCTTAAAAACATTGTGGAATGAACTAATATGAAATGTTTGAAAAATATATAGCATCAATAAAAAAAAGTTAACATACAGCTGAAGTTCAAAAGAAAGATAAGGAAATTGTCAGACATCAAAAATAAGACAGAAAACCCATAGTCAGAGTTGTAAGTATGCAAGGTGATGCTTTGGTAATCCAGAAACCCCTACATACAGATATAGGCTGTCATGGCAAAGTCAGGGTTTTAATATCCATGTGGGCACAAAGCCAAGGGATCTAGCACACTGGTATAGAGAAAGGAATCTAGAAGAACAGCTAATTCCAAGAAAGGAAGACTAGAAGAACTTAACCTACCAACACAAAAAAATGTCTTTGCCTAGATCACTGGTCCAAAACCAAAAATTATTCCATGAGAAACAGAAAAACCTAAACTTGGAGTACAAAAGGGTATAAAGTCCTAATAATAATATATACTCCCTGCATGGTATGTACATCCTAGATGATAAATTAAGGTAACAACCAGAAACTGTTCTGTGAAACCCTTGAGGCTCAGAACAGAAGCAAATGCAAAAGAGCTCTGTAGGAAGAATTCCACAAGTTCATCAGAAAAATACAGCCTCCACTAAAGAGGGGCTCACAATTTAAAATGTATGAACCACATTAAAAAGGAAGATTTACAATGAAGGAGCATTAGCTGGTAGCCACTGCAAACAGGAAGACTTGTACACACCAATAATTAAAAATAACAGAAGAATCTCAAAGATATTATTAAAAATATTTTAATGATTAGAGACATAAAAGATAAATAAGAAATATGAAAAAATATAAGACACTAGAAAAAGGCAGATTTTTAAAAGCACCAAATAGAACATCTATAAAAGAAAAAGGTCATTATAAATAAAAAACTTAAAACATAAGTTATATGGCAGATAAAACATAGTTGAAGAATTAGTGAACTAAAAGATATATCTAAGAAAATTACTCACGGCTGTAATCCCAGCACTTTGGGAGGCTGAGGTGGGCAGATCACAAGGTCAGGAGATCGAGACCATCCTGGCTAGCATGGTGAAACCCCGTCTCTACTAAAAATACAAAAAATTAGCCGGGAGTGGTGGCGGGCGCCTGTGGTCCAAGCTGCTCAGGAGGCCGAGGCAGGAGAATGGCATGAACCCGGGAGGCGGAGCTTGCAGTGAACCAAGATCGCGCCACTGCACTCCAGCCTGGATGACAGAGCAAGACTCCATCTCAAAAAGAAAGAAAATTACATAAGATGCTCACAGGCATAAAGAAATAGAAAGTATATAAGGTATAAAGACATGGAGGATAAATGAGAAGATTCAAAATATATCTTCTTAGGAGTTTGAAAGGAGAAAATATAAAGACTCGTTGGGGAAGGTAATACTTGAAGTGATAATGACTTAAATTGTTCCCAAAAAATATATTAATTTTCACGTCACAAAATAACTCTTAAATTATAAGAAAAGAAAACACACAAATATTTTAGTAATAAAAATTATTGTAATTCAATTTAGAAAGCTGTAGGACTGAGAATGATTTTTAAAAGAATTTTTTAGAGAAGATTTAGGTTCACAGCAAAATCCAGAGGAAGGTAAAGAGATATACCATATACTCCCTGCCCCACACATACATAACCCCCAATTATTAACATCCCCCACCAGAGGGGTACTGATATGGTTTGGCTCTGTGTCCCCACCCAAATCTCATGTCAAATTGTAATCCCCACGTTGTTGGAGGAGGGGCCTGGTGGGAGGTGACTGGATAATGGGGGCAGTTTCTAATGGTTAGCACCGTCCCCCTAGTGCTGCCTCATGACGGAATTCTCATGAGATCTGGTTGTTTAAAAGTGTGTAGCACTTTCCCCCTTAGCAGTCTCTGTCTCCTGCTCTGCCATGGTAAGACATGCTTACTTCCCCGCCCGCCATGATTTTAAGTTTCCTGAGGCCTCCCAGTCAAGCTTCCTATACAGCCTGCAGAACTGTAAGTTAATTAAACCTCTTTTGTTCATAAATTACCCAGTCTCAGGTAGCTCTTTATAGCAATGTGAGGATGGACTAATACAGGTACATTTGTTACAATTAATGAACCTACACTGACATCGTTATCACCCAAAGTTCACAGCTTACATTGGAATTCACTCTTGGTATTGTACATTCTATGGGTTTGGACAAGTATATGACATGTGTCCACCATTAGACTATCATACAGAGTATTTTTACTGCCCTAAAAAACTTCTGTACTCTGTCTTTTTATCTCTCCCTCCTTCAACCCCTGGCAACCACTTTTTTTTTTTTTTCAAGACCAGTCTCACTCTTGTCCCCCAGGCTGGAGTGCAATGGTGTGATCTCGGCTCACTGCAACCTCCACCTCCCAGCTTCAAGCGATTCTCCTGCCTCAGCCTCCCAAGTAGTTGGGGCTACAGGCACCTGCCACCACACCCCATCAAATTTTTGTATTTTTAGTACAGATGGGGTTTCACCATGTTGGTCAGGCTGGTCTCGAACTCCTGACCTCTGGTGATCTGCCTGCCTCAGCCTCCCAAAGTGCTGAGATTACAGGTGTGAGCCACTGTGCCTGGCCTCAACCACTTATTTTTTTACTGCCTCCATCATTTTGCCTTTCCCAGAATGTCATATAGTTGGTGAGTAGTGTATCTTTGTTGTTTTAATTTGTATTTCCCTGATGACACATGATGTGGCACATCTTTTCATAAACTTATATGCCATCTGTATGTATATCTTCTTTGGTGAGATGTCTGTTAAGATCTTTGGCCCATTTTAAAATCAGATTGTTTTCTTATTGTTCAGTTTTAAGAGGTCTTTGTTATTTTGGATAGCCGTCCTTTGTCAGAGGTGTCTTTTGCAAATGTTTTCTCCTACTCTGTGGCTTGTCTTTTCATTCTCTTGACAAGCCACAGAGTAGCTAAAGTTTTTAATTTTAATGAAGTCCAGCTTATTAACTCTTTCAGAAATCATGCTTTTCGTGTTGTATCAAAAAAGTCAGCCGGGCACAGTGGCTCACGCCTGTAATCCTAGCACTTTGGGAGGCCGAGGTGGGCGGATCACGAGGTTAGGAGATGGAGACCATCCTGGCTAACATGGTGAAACCCTGTCTCTACTAAAAATACAAAAAATTAGCTGGGCGTGGTGGCAGGTGCCTGTAGTCCCAGCTACTTGGGAGGCTGAGGCAGGAGAATGGCGTGAACCCAGGAGGTGGAGCTTGCAGTGAGCCAAGATAGCGCCACTGCACTCCAGCCTGGGCAACAGAGCAAGACTCCGTCTCACAAAAAAAAAAAAAAAAAAAAAAGCCATCAGCAAACCCATGGTCATCTAGATTTTCTCCTACGTTTTCTTCTAGGAGTTTTTTAGCTTTGTGTTTTACATTTTGGTCTGTGATCCATTTTGAGTTAAATTTTGTGTAAATCTGTGTCTAGATTCATTTTTTTCATATGGATATCTAGCTGTTCCTGCACCATTTGTTGAGAAGGATGCATTTTTCACCTTCTCAACTTTCAGAACTTTGCTTTTTTATTACATTTCCTTCTATCTTTCTCCAGACTATAAAATTACCCAAATATCTAAGAATTCCTCATGCATAAATGTATAAACTCAAAGCTCCAGAAATCTAATTTCCTTTTGTCCATGTGATTAGGTATGGCCTAATAAAATTAGGCTTCAAAACTAGAAATAACATGTTATATATTAAATATCGCTTTGGTTCTATAAGAGGAATTAATATAATATATAAAATTAAGTAAGTTTAAATTTAATGAAATAAAGTAATAAAATAGAGCTTTGGAGCTGAACATCTTAGAGATCATCTATCCCATTACTCCCAATCTGGGTTTTACGACATCTACCTATCCTCTCTTTATTCATGCCTCTTCTGAGAGCGTGAATGAAACTCTCTCCTCCACTTCCTCACTTCTATTATCCAGGGTAGAGAATGCAGACACTGTTTTACAAAATGGTCTTGTTTGGGAAATACTAATGGAATTCAATTTCTTCATTTTACCTAAAGGAAAACTGAAGCTGAGAAAGAAAGCGTCTTACCACAGGACTATGTAATAAGTCATTAATAGAAATAGTTTACTTAAAATCTACAGGACAATCAGCAAAGTATCTTTATTAAGCCCTCTAAGCATACTGTTTTCATAAGTAAAGTTTTATTTGTCAGGTAATTTAGATGTAAGAAGGTTGCCCTGCTCCAAGCCCATCCCTTTGAAATGAACTAACAAGGTACTATGTTTAAATAGAAATGGAACACATTGAAAGAATTCACTAAAGCTAAATTAGTTGGTCTTTTTGGAATATGGTTTTTGTGTTCTGTGTTGGAATTCAGTAAGTAGAGTCTCTTGACTATGAGCTCCATAAGAGAGGGCACTATCTGGTTTCTTATTCCTGTGCCTAGCACATACCAGAGTATGATCTTATGAAAGGAAAAAGGGAGAAAGAGAAGTAAGTAACTAGCAAACTAAAGGAGGGAGGGAAGTTGCTACACGGTGGTTAACAGGTTTCCTTGCCTAGTGGATTTATATCAGATCCTTAACTGAACAGAAATTTTATTTAAGTTTCAACTTGGGGGGTTGGGAGAAATCACAAGTATCTTCATTGCTCTACTCTATTCATGTATCATGTTCAGCAGACCATGAGGTATCCTATACATCTACCTGTACTATGTTCTGGGTTGAATAAGGCAAAATAAATCCTTATGCCTCTTGCATAGAAAGTCAGCCATATGAAGGAATTTCTTTTGCTTTGAAAATACTCTCTATAGGGAATCATCCCTAACTCATTTTATGAGGCCAGCATCATCCTGATACCAAAGCCTGGCAAAGACACAACAAAAAGAGGGAATTTTAGACGAATATCCCTGATGAACATCGATGCAAAAATCCTCAATAAAATACTGGCAAACCAAATCCAGCAGCACATCAAAAAGCTATCCACCACGAACAAGTCGGCTTCATCCCTGGGATGCAAGGCTGGTTCAACATATGCAAATCAATAAACGTAATCCATCACATAAACAGAACCAATGACAAAAACCACATGATTATCTCAATAGATGCAGAAAAGGCCTGTGACAAAATTCAACAGCCCTTCATGCTAAAAACTCTCAATAAACTAGGTATTGATGGAACGCATCTCAAAATAATAAAAGCTATTTATGACAAACCCACAGCCAATATCATACTGAATGGGCAAAAACTGGAAGCATTCCCTTTGAAAACTGGCACAAGACAGGGATGCCCTCTTTCACCATTCCTATTCAACATAGTGTTAGAAGTTCTGGCCAGGGCAATCAGGCAAGAGAAAGAAATAAAGGGTATTCAATTAGGAAAAGAGGAAGTCAAATTGTCCCTGTTTCCAGATGACATGATTGTGTACTTAGAAAACCCCATCGTCTCAGCCCAAAATCTCCTTAAGCTGATAAGCAACTTCAGCAAAGTCTCAGGATACAAAATCAATGTGCAAAAATCACAAGCATTCCTATACACCAATAACAGACAAACAGAGAGCCAAATCATGAGTGAACTCCCATTCACAATTGCTACAAAAGACAATAAAATACCTAGGAATCCAATTTACAAGGGATGTGAAGGACCTCTTCCAGGAGAACTACAAACCACTGTTCAACGAAATAAAAGAGGACACAAACAAATGGAAGAACATTCCATGCTCTTCCTTCCTGGGGGAGGAATAGCATTAGGAGAAATACCCAATTTACATGATGAGTTAATGGGTGCAGCAAACCAATGTGGCACACGTTTACCTGTGTAACAAACCTGCACATTGTGCACATGTACCTTAGAACTTAAAGTATAATTAAAAAAACAATTAAAAATATACTTTCTATATTGTCCAGATAATTAAATACGTATGAATGACAACAAAACAATTTAAGAAGGAATGTTAAAAGAACAAAGTACTTAAGCAAGATGAACAAATTCTCTTACTGACAACCTTTTAGTAGGAAAAAAATGTAGTATTTTTCAAGATACACCAAGAAAAAAAATTAGGCAAAAGATATAAGTATGTCCAGTTCAAGAGACTGTAAAAAAAAATTAGGTGCCTCATGTCACTAAGGCCATGACTGGATTTAATGTCAGAAGTCATTCTACAAAGTGGTGTGCCGCAGTGTGTCCAGAGGCTAGAGAACCGTGAAAGGGGGCTACCAAGGCTGGGAAGATGCAACTGTTGCCGTAAGTGACTTTCAAAGACCCTGATGCCTTGTGGTACCCTTCTGAAACTCAAACAGTAACACAGAAGTGTTCTGTTTTAGAATTTATGGTGTATAATGTTTTTAAAAGAGCTTGCTGTCCGGGTGTGGTGGCTCACGCCTGTAATCCCAGCACTTTGGGAAGCCAAGGTGGGTGGATCACTAGAGGTTAGGAGTTCAAGACCAGCCTGGCCAACGTGGCAAAACCCCGTCTCTCCTAAAAATACAAAAATTAGCTTGGCATGGTGGCATGCGCCTGTAATCCCAGCTACACAGGAGGGTGAGGCAGGAGAATCGCTTGAACCCAGGAGGTAGAAGTTGCAATGAGCCGAGATCGCGCCACTGCACTCCAGCCTGGGCAACACAGTGAGACTCCATCTCAAAAAAAAAAAAAAAGAGCTTGCCTACAGCTGGTTTCCACACCTGAACTGTTGTGCTTGGCAAGTTGCATAGCTGGAAATTAAATGTTCAATCCTACCTTGGCTCCAATTTAACATTTGGTGCTCTGTGGAGTGAGTTGAATGTGTTGAGGCTTTGCAGTTTCACTTGTGGTAAAGACGTTAGCATTTTCCATTTCTATGCAGATTTCTTTGAAGCAGAATTGATTGCCTCTTTCTTCTCTGCCTTCACAGTAGGTAGAGTTTCTTTCAAACTTCACTGAGGCATCAGTTGCTCTTTGGCAATGTCCCTTACCGTGATTATTAACTATAAGTGTGTGGCTTCAGTTTAAAAATTTTCGTTGTTTGTTGCATTGATGTTCCCATGTAGTAATTTTTAGTTTGGTTGTAAAAAAAAAAAAAAAAAGACCCTGGGCTGAAGTAAGCGTTTAAGTTTTTTTTTTGTTTTTGTTTTTTTTTAACTAGTCCTAGATTTAAAAACATAAGAAAATTGAAACTTGAAAAAATGAAAAGAAAACAGAGGAGTTTTTACATGAGCTACAATGGTCATTTCTGTTTTCTCAATTATAAAATTTTATTTTTAATTTTTCCAAATCGTAAGAAAAAATGTTTAGCTACTAGTATCATTTTAACCTGGATATGTGAGGTATGGTTAGAATCACTAAATTTTATACCTATGTAAACTTCAAATAGTAAACTTGGACCTTTATTTCTTGTTTCATCAGCTTGAAAGATTATTGCTGGATTATCAACCTCAACTTCTTGCTACATCATTATTTTTGTATTAACAAACTTAATAACATTTTAAGTCTTATTTGGTAACCATAATTAAGTTTTCCATGCTTCATTTATAGGTTAATTCTAAAAATGGAAACCAACAGTGTTTACATTATTACAATCAATATAGGTATCATTTAATGCATGAGTCTAACAGGGTACTAATACAACATTTCCTTCTATATAGGTCCAGTGTGCTACTTGAATAACTATTTTATTATGATCAGGACCTAAGTATCTTCTTTTTTTTAATTATGGTCAAGACCTAAATATCTTTTTTTTGAGACAGGGTCTCAATCTGTTACCCAGGCTGGAGTGCAGTGGCACAATCACAGCTCAATGCAGCCTCAACCTTCTGGGTTCAAGTGATTCTCCTACCTCAGCCTCCTGTGTAGCCTGGAGCTACAGGCGTGCACCACCATATCTGGCTAATTTTTGCATATATATTTTTTTTGTACAGACGCGGTTTTGCCACGTTGCCCAGGCTGGTCTTGAACTCCTGGGCTCAAGCAATCCATCCGCCCAAAATGCTGGGATTACAGGCATGAGCCACCATGCCCGGCCTCTTCTCTTCTTACACTCCATCAATTGCTCAGAACCATCCCAAATTTTAACTTGCTTTATATCTTTCTCATACAGTTATGTTTTCCCTAGAGTTTCTGATCACTACTTTTTTGTTGATAAAAAACACAAGGATTTTTTTTTTTTTTTTGAAACAGTGTAGTGGCCTGATCATGGCTCACAGCAGCCTCGACCTTGTGGGCTCAAGCAATTCTTCCACCTCAGCCTCCTGAGTAGCTAAGACTACAGGTGCTCACCACCACACCCAGCTAATTTTTTTTTTCAGTTTTTTATAGAGACAGGATCTCCCTATGTTGCCCAGGCTGGTCTCGAACTCATGGGTTTACACAATCCTCCAGTCTCAGCCTCCCAAAGTGCTGGGACTACAAGCGTGAGCCACCACACCTAGCTTAGGATGTATGTTAACATTTTTCCATACTTTCCTTTGTGTTTATACATACACATACTTTTTGTTTTTTCTGAACTATCTGAAAGTAAGTTGCAGCTAATAGGTGATTTCACCCTAAATACTTCATCATACATTTTCTAAGAATAAGAACTTTCTTTTATATGATCATAATATTATACCTATGATATTATTATACCTAGTATAATAATTCAATAACATAAGCTAATATATGGTCATATTCAAATATCCCAATTGTCCTCTCCAATTTTTTATGGCTGGTTTTATTCTTGACCCAGGATCCAATGAAAGTTCACATATTACAGCACTTGGTTGTTATATCTCTTTATTCTTTTTTTTTTTTTTTTTTTTGAGATGGAGTCTTGCTCTGTCACCCAGGCTGGAGTACAGTGACGTAATCTCCGCTCACTGCAACCTCTGCCTCCCAGATTTAAGCGATTCTCCTGCCTCAGCCTCCTGAGCAGCTGGGACTAGAGGCGCCTGCCACCATGCGTGGCTAATTTTTGTATTTTTAGTAGAGACGGGGTTTCACCATGTTGGCCAGGCTGGTCTCCAACTCCTGACTTTGAGTGATCTGCTACCTTGGTCTATCTTTATTATTTTAATCAAAAGTAGCTCCCCTTTCTTTTTTCATGACACTGAAGTTTTTTTTGTTTTGGTTTTAACTTTTAGGTTCAGGGGTACATATGCAGGTCTGTTATATAGGTAAATTGCGTGTCACGGGGGTTGGTTGTACAGATGATTTCATCACCCAGGTAATAAGCACAGAACCCAATAGGTCCTTTTTTGATCCTCACCTTCCTCCCATCCTCCACGCTCAAGTAGGCCCCAGTGTCTGTTGTTTCTTTGTCTAACACTGAATTTTTTTTTTTTTTTTTTTTTTTTTTTTTTTGAGACGGAGTCTCACTCTGTCGCCCAGGCTGGAGTGCAGTGGTGATATCTCAGCTCACTGCAAGCTGCGCCTCCCGGGTTCACGCCATTCTCCTGCCTCAGCCTCCCGAGTAGCTGGGACTACAGGCGCCCGCCACCACGCCCAGCTAATTTTTTGTATTTTTAGTAGAGACGGGGTTTCACCGTGTTAGCCAGGATGGTCTCGATCTCCTGACCTCGTGATCCACCCGCCTCGGCCTCCCAAAGTGCTAGGATTACAGGCATGAGCCACCACGCCCAGCCAACACTGAAGTTTTTTTGAGTCCAGCCTAGATGTCTTATAGAATGTGCCACACATTGTGATTGTGTCTAATTGTTTTTATCATAATTAGATTTCAAATATTTTTGGCAAGAAAATTACATAGGTGAAGTTCGGTCCTCCTTATTGCATAATAACAGTGGATCCATGGAAAAGCTGTTTCATTATTAACATTGCTAGACTCGATCACTTGATTGAAGTGGTGACCTTCAGGATCCTTCTAATGTAAAAATATATTTTGCTCTTTGTAATTAATGTTATCTGTTTGAAATGGCATGAATATCGTCTTCCCAACAATCATTATTTCACTAGTTACTTCATTTTACTTTTTGTCTTCCCCACTAGACTAAGCTTCACAAGGGCAGAGATTTTTGTCTTGTTTATCATTGCTGTATCCTCAATGCTGAGAAAAGTGTTTGCACATAGTAGACCCTCAATATATATTGAATGAATCATCATTAGTTAAATACTTCTGTATTCTCTAAGAGACTACGAACAACTTAAGGGCAAAGGTAATGTTTTCTTAGTTTTTGTATTTGCAGAAAATAAGCACAGTACTTAGCACATAGCAAAAATTCAATGCTATTTTAATTTTTAAGGACCATGGGTAAATCAGTCACAATATATATGCCTTACTCATTTTCCTTATGTGTAAAATGTTAAAAATGTATCTATTTAACTATATTAATAAGATATACTAAAAATTATTTTAATATTTCTTTTTAAAATAAAATATGGTAAAGCAAAACTAAATTTAAAACAAGGCTCTCAGGAAAAAGTATTAAATTATGTAATATATTAGATATAAACTTTTGTCAGCTTTGCTTTGTAGCTTACATATCTAAAGGCATTTTACTGATATAATGCTAAAATACCAAACTACTTTTTAAACAATACGTAGTTATTTTTACCTGTAGTGCTTTTAATGTTTCCTTCAATCCTTCTATTTCTTTTTCCTTTATTTCTGTAGCAAGTTGATATTTTCCCTTTAAGTAAAAAACTGTATTTCAATACTTTCCAATGTAAATAATAATACAAAGGGTAAAATATAAGAGCTCAAGAACCCTTTAAGTAAAAAACTGTATTTCAATACTTTCTAATGTAAATAATAATACAAAGGGTAAAATATAAGAGCTCAAGAACCAAAATCTCAATGATAGACTGGATTAAGAAAATGTGGCACATATACACCATGGAATACTATGCAGCCATAAAAAAAGGATGAGTTCATGTCCTTTGTAGGGACATGGATGAAGCTGGAAACCATCATTCTCAGCAAACTATCACAAGGACAAAAAACCAAACACCACATGTTCTTACTCATAGGTGGGAACTGAACAATGAGACCACTTGGACACAGAAGGGGAACATCACACACCGGGGCCTGTTGTGGGGTGGGGGGAGCGGAGAGGGTTAGCATTAGGAGATATACCTAATGTTAATGACGAGTTAATGGGTGCAGCACACCAACATGGCACATGTATATATATGTAACAAACCTGCACGTTGTGCACATGTACCCTAGAACTTAGATTAAAAAATATATATATATATATATATATAAAAAGAACCAAAATCTCTACTTTAAACCAAATATTTCACAGGCTTTAACCTTCCATCTGTACTACAAATTACATTTCTAAAGATTTCAAAATATAAAATTATAATAAGGCCTTTATATGGTTACAATTATCATGAAATAGAATGTCTTATTATAATGACAAATCATTTTATCAGTAGAGCATCCTACCTGAGAACTTGCAGACACTTTATAATTATTTAATTCATACAACTAGAATAAATATATTCTAATTAATAAGATACAGGTGGTATTTATCTAATGAATATAAAAATATGGGAGAATTTTTTACAGAAGACCTTTGGCTAAAAATAAACCATAAGTGATTATTATTAATGGTATGTTCATTGATATAATAAAAAATGTATTAACTATTAAATAGCTAGAGAAAATATTTAGCGTCAGATAAATTTCTAGGTTTGTTGGAGCTTTATCCCCTTTGCCAGTTGGTCTGCACCCAGTTGCAAGTCATTTCCATATTTTTTAAAGACAGTAGTTCCATTGAAAAAGCACTAAAAACATCATGGTTAATAGAAACACTGCAGTGGAATGGGAAGAACATTAATTTGGGGCCTGAAGAGATCTGGGTTCTAGTCCCAATTTTGCCACTTCAAAGTGAGACCTTTGGCAAGTCATTTAATCTTGTTAGGCCTCTATATTCTGAACTGTAAATGATGGAAGTGAAGTAACATGATTATCTTGGGTCCTTTCTAAGATTTTAAGCAGTTAACCATCTCTATTAGTTTGTTACTAATGCTCTTTTCTCTTATGGTAAACAATGGATAATAAAAGGCATCTAGCTATGTTTTAAATTATTTTGTAAAAGTAAATACTTTTTAATAGACAGAAAATTTTAAAAAAATTATAAATACCTTTTCTTCTTCCAGGGCACACATCTTCATCTGCAACTGATAAACAATTTTAAAAATTAAAATAAAGGGATCACTGTTAACAGTGATCTATACTGGTCACTGAGACTAAAGAAACACTTTACACATCTATATTGTTTGAAATGGAAATAATGTGAATATGTTATTTTCAGATTCAGAAAATAAATAATAATGATATAAAACGAGAAAAAAGCCAGTCACTAAAGTAAATGAACTATTTATTTATTTATTTGAGATGAGGTCTTGCTATGTTGCCCAGGCTATACTCCAACTCCAGGGCTCAAGGGATCTTCCCACCTCGGTCTCCCAAGTAGCTGAGACTAGAGCACACACCACCACACCCAGTTCAAAATTAGCAATTTAATCACACTGATTAGAGATACCAATTATCTTTGAAAGTTTTGTTTTTTTCCTCCAGAAATTTTTCTTAAATATCTGAATATTTTGCCATCCACTCCTAAATCACAGCTTATATCATTTTCCAAAGGTACAATTTCGTAAATCAGAATCATTTGTATTATCATTGACAGTATTTATGTTCAAGAATTTTTTTAACTCATGTGCAGCCTAACAAATTATGACCTGTTTAAAAAAATAATGACATTTTAAAGGCCAGGCATGGTAGTTCATGCCTGTAATCCCAATACTTTGGGAAGCTGAGGCAAGAGAATTGCTTGAGCCCAAGAGTTTGAGACCAGCCTGGGCAATGTAGTAAGACTTCCTTGACAAAAAACTTTTAAAAAAAAATTTTTTTAAGCACCTGTAGTCCCAGCTACTTGGGAGGCGGGAGGATCGTTTGAGCCCTGGAGTTGGAGATTGCAGTGAGCTGAGATCACGCTACTGCACTCCAGCCTGGGCTACAGGGCAAGACTATCTCTAAATAAATAAATAAATAAAAATAATGACATTTTAAAACAGAAAAACTAAAGTACACACACCAAAGGAAAATTATGAAATATTCTAAGGAACACAAGGGTATTAGGCAAAATTTTCAAGAAATGAAATTTTTCTTTGGAACTTCCCTATTTCCTTTTTCACACTCCTCACATTCAAGATCCCCTTCTTTTAAAAAGCACACACACACACAAAGAAAAAAACAAAGAACCCAAGAGCACTTTCTCCTCTACCCTTCAGATATCTGAGTATCCTTATCTTGCCCAAAGTCCTTTGTGACAGCAGAGATGTGGACTTGCTCTTTCCTAGAGAATACTATGCTACACTTTTGGCTTTTGCTTCCTTAACCTTCAGTTAAAACTCCCATAACCTTGGTTAGGCCTATCTCAGATTAAAGGAAGAAAGTCTGTCATTTGCTTAAAAAAATTAACACATCTACACACACTTGTATTATAAAGATGAAGATAAAAATAGGAAAGGAAAAAGGAAGAAAAAATAATGATGTGAGATAGAGATAAGGAAACTTTCAGAGGATATTTTACATGAGCACATTTTCTCAAACTGTTATAATATTCTCTTGGTAGGAACTGAAGAGAAATTTTAGTCAAGAAAAGCTACAGAATTGAAATGAGCTGAAGGTATGTACAAGGATTCATTTGATTTTTTTTCTCATTTTTGTACTACTATTTCTTAGTTACTGATGATTGATATTTATGGAGGCTACAGTGCATAATAATCATCTCTTCTAATCCTTGTCATCTCCCTACTTGCATCTCAGATTTTGATCATAACATTATAACTCTACTTGGGTAAAGCGGTACTATGGAAGAGGCAAGAGCCTAGGAAGTTCTAATAAAAGAAAGGAAAGGGGAGAGAAAGAACAATAACACACACATCCCATTCACCTAAATTATTCAGGACAGATGAAAATATATTTCCATCTCCAAGAAAATAGTTTTCCCAATTTCCCTCAACAAATTTATGCTACTACTTTACATTCTATTGTCAGTTGTGATTAAAAATGATTTTATTCATTTCCTACTTCCCATAATACCTTGTTCTCCTTTTTGTCTTTGGTGACTATGGAGAACAGCTTGCCATAATATTCATAGGAGGGGGAGGAAATGCAATATTTAAAATGGTAGTGTTTGTCTATCCTTATGAAATTACCTGCTTTTTAAAAACTGCCATTGCTTCCTTGTGTTGCTCTGCCAATGTTTCCTTTTGATTCTGAAGAGTTTCCTGTTTTAAAAATTATGACAAGTTAAAACACAAATTCTAGCAACTCTCTTTCAGCTTTAAATCTTAACTAGGTTCACAATTTAAAGTCAACCATACCTTCTACATATATTATTTTGTGTTCCTGGAATGCAACTTTAAACCAATTTTATGATTATTTTTTGAGACAGGGTCTCACTCTGTTGCCCAGGCTGGAATGCAGTGGCACAATCACAGCACACTGCAGCCTCAACCTTCCCGGGCTCAGGTGATTCTCCTGCCTCAGCCTCTCCAGTAGCTGGGATTACAGATGTCTGCCACCATGCCCAGCTAATTTTTGCACTTTTTGTAAAGACAGGGTTTTGCCATGTTGCCCAGGCTAGTCTCAAACTCCTGGACTCAAGCGACCCACCACTTCGGCCTCCCAAAATGCTAGGATTACAGGCATGAGCCACTGTACCCAGCCCAATTTTATAATTTTTTAATTGTCATAGAATCATCATATAAAAATTTTTGCTTCCTGTTGCTTTTTTCATGAAAAAAAAAAACATTGCTTCTAAAACTTTTAAACTTTGGATATTATTTGCTCCAAATCTTTCTTCAAGAAAAATATCTTTTAACCAAAAGTAATTAAAATTAACAAATTAACAGTCCTAGTATACAAGCAGACTGTTAGAGTTTCAAAAACAATGACAACAACAACAACAACAAAAACCAGTTTTATCATCTAAGCAGAAATGCTTACCTGGCAACATATACACCTTTAAGTTCCCTGGAATAATTTTTCACAAACCAAAACTACCACAAGAGAATTTCTGGAAAAAAATCTACATATGATTCCATTTCTTTTTTTCTCCTTCTCCCACCTTTTTGGTGGAAGTTGCACGTTCTGTTCT
Organism: Homo sapiens; assembly: GCF_000001405.40. Taxonomy (NCBI): domain Eukaryota; kingdom Metazoa; phylum Chordata; class Mammalia; order Primates; family Hominidae; genus Homo; species Homo sapiens. Next base: position 32,703,817 of record NC_000011.10, read on the forward strand.
TTCTATTCTAGATGACTTTAACATTCTTCTTCTATTTTTATCAAAGTTAATAATTCTCATCATTTAAAAATTAAGTCTAAAAGTGGCAACCACTTTCAAATTTTTCTGTTGTTTGCTCCAGATTTCTAAATAATACATTGAGTTAGCAATTTTAAAAGTTTATCTTGTGACCTGTTATTGATGAGAACAGTGGCCCATCTGGTGCCACCACTGTGAGGATGCCAGCTGCAGCAAGGGAGGTTGCGGCCAAGGCTACGGCTCTGCAAAGTCAGTGGGGGCTGGGAACAGGTGATCCCAGCAGGAGCCCTGTGCCCTACTAAGTTGGCGGGGCAGGAGCCCGTGCTCCCAGGTGCAGCTACAGCTGCCCAGCCACAGCTCTAAACCCAGGTATCCCTGCACTCTGCATTCTCTGTGTGGTGGCGGGCAGGTAGGGGAAGCCCCCTTGAAGCTGAAGCTTAAAGTACCTGTTTCCACTCCCTGACCTCTCCCTGCTCTCCATGTCTGCTCCACTGTGGAGCAAAGTTGTGGACATGTCCTGATAGCCAAGCCTGGGCAATGTCGCAACCAGGACAAGTATGCGCACACTCGGGGCAGCGCTGACATGCCAGACCCTGGCTGCCTTGGCCCCCTCTGGAAGCTGCTTCTGAAGGTGAAACTTAGGGCACCAATGAGCACAGGAGGGAGGCCAGAGGGCTGAGGGTGGCTCAGCGCGGGCCCACAGGTGCCCCTTGGGATGGACAGCCTGGGCACTACAGACAGCATGTTGATGGTGACAGGAGGTGCTCCTGGCAGGAAGGGATGTCCCTAGTGAAAACCCACCTTCAAGCCAGGGATAGCCTGAAGCCTGGGGACCAGGGCTGTCAGTTTTGGATGAAGTGGTGGCAGAGGAGTGAGAACTTCCTTGATCCCTTTGGCCAATCAAGTGGTATTTTCTGGGCCCACCCATGGGCCAATAAACACACACTTCCTCCACTCTGAGGCAATAAAAACCCTGGACTCAGCCAGACTCAGACACTCATCTGCACTACCTGCCTGCAGAAAGGAGCTGCCCACTTCAGGTCTCCTCTCCACTGAGAGCTGTTTGGTCACCCAGTGAAGCTCTTCTCTGCCTTGCTAACCCTCCAGTTGTCAGTGTAACCTCATTCTTCCTGGACATGGGACAAGAACTCAGAACCCACCAGATGGCAGGAGCAAAAGAAGCTGTAACACTTTCCTGGTGGGCTTGCCAAGCTGCAGGTGGGAGCTAAAGGGGCTGTAACGCTATAGCTCTCCCAGCCTCTGCCAGTGCTGGGTGGCCGCACCATTCAACGGGAAACAGCAGTGGGGCTAGGCCAGCCCAGGAGCCGCGGGCTGAAGCAGGGCAGCAGGACTGAAATAGCTGTAACACAAACAGGCTAAAATACACCACACTGCTTGCCACACTGCAGGTGACTAGAGGAAGAGAAGAGCTGGAGCCCTTCTGCAAGCCCAGACCTCAGGGCTCCCCAAGTGAGAGCTGTGAGTAGTGGTAACACCCTCTTTTGGGCTCTGTGGTTCCTAGCATCTCCAAGCTTCTGGGCACCACCACATTCCCCTCATCCAGACACTGGTGCCTGCAGTGGAAGCCACTTGCAGTACGTCTGCTCCAGTCACAGCCTCACACAGAGCTGGCTGCCCTGCCGCAGCAGCCAGCATGCTTGGCTGTGTGCAGCAGCCGGACCCCACGCTCACTCGCTCACACACCCCTCGTCACTGTGTGCCTGGCTTGCTCTTGGCAGGCATGGGATCTGGGCCAGTATCGCAAGCCGAGTGCAGCCCGCCAGGTCAAGTGAATGGAACAAGTCCAGCGGGTGCGAGCAAAACTCAAGCAGAGGCACTGCCAGCCACAGAGCTTTCTGGCTTGTGAAGTGACACCCAAACGATCCTGTGACACTATTATGATAGTTGGAAGTTTAACTTTCTCATACAGCTATTATCCCACAGCTCCTCCTCTATTCTTCCAACAGAGTTATATCAAAATTGGCTTAAATTGATAGTCAGCATTTACACTGTTATGACTATGTAATTATTATGCAATATTGAGCCACATGGTATGCCATGATTACATTTTTATTCTCATACAACTTTGTTTTTCTGCAGTTAGTAATCAAAAATATTTTAATTCCCATAGCTAATTTTAAAAAATAATACTGTCTGTACCCAGATCTATATCAGCTGAAAAAAAAAAAAAAGAATGAAAAAGGCAAAGTGAGAACATCACAAGAATGACTTAGGAAGTCTCAAACCATTTAGGAAACCAGGCAGATTTAGAAAAACTGTAGATGTTTGACTAAATCTTTCAGGGGCTATCCCCAAAGTTCTTCCTGTGAAAATAAAGGTGACTCTAACCACACCTGCAAGGAAGGAAGGAAAGAATGAGTCCACTGGAGACTTCAGGGATAGGTTCCTTGAGGAGTAGATTCTGAAGCTGTTGACTTCCAGCTCTTTCCTCAATTTTTGTGAATAGCCTTAAATACAGAACCAGGGAATTTAATATGTAACAAATTTGTAATGGGAAATAGCTCTACTACTAGATCTCCAAATCTACATCTTCAAAAAAAAGGCTTAGAACACAAATAAAATAAACTAATGGCTTCACAAATAAAATAACTAAATGTTCCCACTGCGGTCATCAAGCACTAGAGGAGAGTGCCTCTTGGTAAAGACACGTATAAGTACTTATACGCAGAAAGTACATTAGAAAAATAATTGTCATGGTCTAGCTAAGAAAATAAAGGAAAATAATCAGTGGGCAAATCAATGACACTGCTATGGGGAGAAATCGTGTATTCAACTTCTCATTTTATTCTCAAACTTGCAAAGAGAAATTTCTCTAAATATTAAAAGTAACCTCTCTCTTGAAGCCAATGAGCTACACAGATAGGGGTATCTCAAATAATCCACAGATATTCTCCCTGTTTCAGCCTGTTAACTGCCAACCTCGGTTCCCCAAATGAGAAATATTATTTTCCTTTACAACATCATGCCCATCAAATTAAAAGATAGGGATCTATTATGTAAACAGAATTGCAAAATTAAGTTCTCTCCTGTTTTTTATTTTCCTTTTCTTTTCCCTCAGATCCCTGATGACTTTCCTGTTCATAATCAGATCGTAGCTAATTTAGATGTTGACTTACTGGTAACTTTATGTATGATCAAACCAAATTGAAGATCTCCATGAAGTAGCACTTTGTGGGAAAAAAGTTTTACTGATATTGGCAGTAAGGTTCAGATCCACCCATCTAAACCTCTACCTAAGTTTACAAAATACCTCTAAAACCAGATGCTAAAGAAGAACTAAAGCCAATAGTCCAAAGGCCTAATAGAGAAAAGATGAGTCATACCTTATGAAGTATGACTGGTATAAAAATAGTCACAGTAAAAATGAGTCAGTCTTTAAACACTGTTGTTTCCCAGTCAAAAAACCCAGTGAATGAGGATAAAGATTTGTTCAAGACCTTAAGACCATAAATAAAATAAACATTTTACCCACTTCTTTGTATTACTGAGCCCAAGTACTATGTTATCTTCAGTGCTACTCGAAGTTACTTTTTTTTTTTTTTTAACCACTATAGATACGTGTTGTGCTTTCTATACTGTCCCTTTAGATCAAGATAGTCAACACCTATTTGTTTTTTCCTGGGAAAGTCAAAAATTTACCTGGATAGTGATGCGTCAGGGATTTACTGAGGAACCTCAAGGATATTAAATTTCCTTGTAACACTACACTTGCATAATATGGGGACAAGTTTTTTCGACGTTCTAAAGATGTGGAGAGTTGTAAGACTGATTCCATTTATCAACTTACTCTTTTAGCAAGGTCGTGAAAATTCCAAAAAAAGTTTAGAAGTTTGTCAGAACAAAGCACATTATTTACGGTATGATTAATCTCAAGGGGGTAAATGTATCACTCCTGATGAATTATAAACGATTCAATACTTTCCAAGGCTGGTTACTAAGAGACAATTAAGAATTTTTCTGGGTTTCACTGGCTGCTTCAGACAACAGGTTCCAAACATTTCTGAAATCACCCCCACCTCTATATAACTTACGTGCTCAATAATGGAACATCTCCCTCAGGAACTTAAATTTTGTGGCTTAAAAATAACTTTGGGTTCTTGTCATGAAGTCATTGCCTAAGCCAATGTCTAGAAGGGTTTTTCCAGAATTTTTATGGTTATTCTAGAATTTGTATGGCTTCAGGTCTTAGATTTAAGCCTTTGATCCATCTTGATTTGATTTTTGTTAAGGTGAGAGATGAGGTTCTAGCTTCATTCTTTTACATGTGGCTTGCCAATTATCCCAGCACCACTTGTTGAAAAGGATGTCCTTTCTTCACTTTATGTTTTCATTTGCTTTGTCAGAGATCAGTTGGCTGTAAGTATTTGGGTTTATTTCTGGGTTCTCTATTCTGTTCCATTGATCTATGTGCCTATTTTTATACCAGTATCATGCTGTTTTGGTGACTATGGCCTTGTAGAATAGTTTGAAGTCAGGTAATGTGATGTCTCCAGATTTGTTCTTTTTGCTTAGTCTTGCTTTGGCTATGCAGGCTCTTTTTTGGTTCCATATGAGTTTTAAAATTAGTTTTTCTAGTTCTGTGAAGAATAATGCTGGTATTTTTATGGAAATTGCATTGAATTTGTGGATGCTTTTGGCAATATGGTCATTTTCACAATATTGATTCTAGTTATCCATGAGCATGGGATGTGTTTCCATTTGTTTATGTCATCTGTGATTTCTTTCAGTGGTGTTTTGTAGTTTTCCTTGTAGAGGTCTTCCATCTCCTTGGTTAGGTATATTCCTATGTTTTTTTGGTTGTTGTTTGTTTTGCAGCTATTGTAAAAGGGGTTGAGTTTTTAATTTGATTCTCAGCTTGATTGCTATTGGTGTAAAGCAGAGCTACTGATTTGTGTACATTAATTTTGTATCCTGAAACCTTGTTGAATTGATTTGCCAGTTCTAGGAGCTTTTTGGATGAGTCTTTAGGGTTTTCTAGATATATGATCATACTATCCACAAACAGCGACAGTTTGACTTTCTCTTTACCAATTTGTATGCCCTTTCTTTCTTTTGTCTGATTGCTCTGGCTAGGACTTCTAGTACTATGTTGAATAGAAGTGGTGAAAGTGGGCATCCTTGTCTTGTTCCAGTTCTCAGAGGGAATGTTTTCAACTTCTCCCCGTATAATGTTGGCTGTGGGTTTGTCATAGATGGCTTTTATTACCTTAAGGTATGTCCCTTCTATGATGATTTTGCTGAGGGTTTTAATCATAAAGGGATGCTGGATTTTGCCAAATACTTTTTCTGTGTCTACTGAGATGATCACGTGATTTTTCTTTTAAATTCTGTTTACATGATATATGACATTTATTGACTTACGTCTGTTAAACCATCTCTGCATTCCTTGTATGAAACCTACTTGATCATGGTGGATTATCTTTTTGATATGCTGTTGGATTTGTTTTTTTTGTTTGTTTTTGAGATGGAATCTTACTCTGTTGCCCAGGCTAGAGTGCAGTAATGTGATCTTGGCTCACTGCAACCTCCACCTCCCAGGTTCAAGCAATTCCTGTCTCAGCCTCCTGAGTAGCTGGGGCTGCAGGCGCCTGCCACCAAGCCTGGCTAATTGTTGTATTTTCAGTAGAGATGGGGTGTTGCCATGTTGTCCAGGCTTGTCTTGATCTCCTGACCTCAGGTGATCCACCACCTTAGCCTCTCAAGGTGCTGGGATTACAGGTGTGAGCCACCATGCACAGCCTGCTGTTGGATTTGGATCGCTAGTATTTTGTTGAGGATTTCTGCATCTATGTTCATCAGGGATATTGGTCTGTAGGTTGTTGTTATTATGTCCTTGCCTGGTTTTGGTATTAGGATGATACTGGCTTCACAGAATGATTAAGGGAGGATTCCCTCTTTCTCTTTTGAAATAGTGTCAGCAGGATTGGTACCAATACTTTGAATGTCTGACAGAATTCAGCTGTGAATCCGTCTGGTCCTAGACATTTTTTGTTGATAATTTTTTTATTACCACTTCAACCTCACTGCTTGTTATTGGTCTGTTCAGAGTTTCTATATCTTCCTGGTTTAATCTAGCAGGTTTGTATATTTCCAGGAATTTATCCGTCTCCTCTAAGTTTTCTAGTTTATGCACATAAAGGTGTTCATAGCAGCCTTGAATAATCTTTTGTATTTCTGTGGTATCAGTTGTAGCATCCCCTGTTTCATTTCTAGTTGAGCTTATTTGGATCGTCTCTCTTTTCTTGGTTAATCTCACTAATCAATTTTATTTATCTTTCCAAAGAATCAGTTTTTTGTTTATCTTTTGTATTGTTTTTCTTGTTTCAATTTCACTTAGTTCTGTTCTGATCTTTGTTATTTCTTTTCCTCTGCTGGGTTTGGATTGTTCTTGTTTCTCCAGTTCTGTGAGGTGTGACCTTAGATTGTCTGTATGTGCTCTTTCAGACTTTTTGATACAGGCATTTAATGCTATGAAATTTCCTCTTAGCACCACTTTTGCTGTATCCCAGAGGTTCTGATAGGTTGTGTCACTAACTTCATTCAGTTCAAAGAATTTTTAAATTTCCATCTTGATTTCATTGTTGACCCAATGATCATTCAGGAGCCGGCTATTTAATTTCCATGTACTTGTATGGTTTTGAGGGTTCCTTTTGGAGTTGATTTCCAATTTTATTCCACTGTGGTCTGAGAGAGTACTTAATATAATTTTGATTTTCTTAAACTTACTGAGACTTGTTTTGTGGCCTATCATATGGTCTTTCCTGGAGAATGTTCCATGTACTGATTAACAGAATGCATATTCTGCAGTTGTTGGGTAGAATGTTCTGTAAATATACGATAAGTCCATTTGTTCTAGGGTACAGTTTAAGTCCATTGTTTCTTTGTTGACCTTCTGTCTGGATGATCTGTCTAGCACTGTCAGTGGAGTATTAAAGTCCCCCACTATTATTGTGTTGCCATCTATCTCATGACCAAGAACCCAAAGCAAATGCAACAAAAATGAAGATGAATAGATGGGACTTAATTAAACTAAAAAGATTCTGCACAGCAAAAGAAATAATCAGCAGAGTTAACAGACAACCCACAGAGTGGGAGAAAATCTTCACAATCTATACATCTGACAAAGAACAATATCCAGAGTCTTAAAAAAAAGATATACAAATGGCCAACAAGCATATGGGAAAATGCTCAACATCAGTAATGATCAGGGAAATGCAAATCAAAACCACAATGTGATACCACCTTACTCCTGCAAGAATGGCCATAATCAAAAAATCAAAAAATAATAGATGTTGGTGTGGAGGTGGTAAAAGGGAACACTTTTACACTGCTTGTAGGAATGTAAACTAGTACAACCACAATGGAAAATAGTGTGGAGATTCCTTAAAAAACTAAAAGTAGATCTACCATTTGATCCAGCAACCCCACTACTAGGTTTCAACCCAGAGGAAAAGAAGTCATTATACCAAAAAAATACTTGTACATCCATGTTTATAGCAGCACAATTTGCAACTGCAAAAATATGGAACCAGTCCAAATGCCCATCAATCAACAAGTAGATAAAGAAAATATGGTATACACATACCACAGAATACTACTTAGCCATAAAAAGGAATGCAATAATGGCATTCACAGCAACCTGGATGAAATTGGAGACTTTATGCCAAATATCATATGTTCTCACTCACAAGAGGGAGCTAAGCTATGAGCACACAAAGGCCTAAGAATAATACATTGGACTTTGGGGAATCAGGCAAAAGGCTGGGAGAGGGGTGAGGGATAAAAGAATACACACTGGGTACAGTGTAGACTGTTCGGGTGATGGGTGCACCAAAATCTTGGAAATGACCACTAAAGAACTTATTCATGTAACTAAACACTACCTGCTCCCTAAAAACCTATTGAAAAAAACAAAAACAAAAACTTTAACAGCGCCCCTTTCTGGGTCTTCCGATTGTCATAAAGCTTTCTACCTATTTGTACCTCAGCAGTGTAGACAAGCCCTTAATGCTCTAACAGAACACCATGGGAGTCATCAGGGTCTAATTGTTTATTACAGTCTTCCCTTAGACCTAGTGGCAAAAGCCAGCTCCTTATCAAGGGCAGTATTAGCAGCTGTCAAACTAGTAGAGGCTTCTACTAATGTGGTTTAAGGATTTATTTAGACTTCATGATACCTCATGCTGCGCAATCCTTGTTATTTACTAAAAACACATTTCTCAGCAAGCAGGTTCACCTCCTATGAACTTTTATTACTTTCTCCCCCACACATTTCCACCCAGTGCTATAATACCTGAAAGTCTACTAACAGGAAGACAAATACCACATGATCTCACTTATATATGGGACCTAAAAAAGTCAAACTTATACAAGTTGAGAGTAGAATAGTGGTTACAAGAAGCTAGGGAGGTGGAGGCCTGGGGTGGAGGGAAGGGAGATGTTGATCAAGGGTACAAAGTTCCAGTTAGATGGAAAGAATAAGTTTGAGATCTACTGCACAGCATGTAGTAAGCATAGTTAATAATAATGTATATTTCAAAATTGGTAAAAGTAGATTTTAAATATTCTCACTATAAAAAAATAAGCATTGAAGTGATGGATATGTTAATTAGTTTGATATAACCATTCCACAACATATACATACACAGGTGTATCAAAACATCACATTGTAGCCCATATATACAATATTTATTTTTCAATTAAAATAAAGATCTAAATAAAAAATAAGAGGCATGAAAACTGAAAAAGAAAAACTCATTGCTTATTTCTCTTTAATTTTTAATTTGCACAAACTATACAATAATACTATTTGACAATTGCCCCCTAAAATTGCCAATAAGTCTGTCATATAATCTTACCTAAGCTTACATATATGTACATGTATATACTAATTTACTTTTTATGTTATTCATTATAAATATGTATATATACACTTCATTTTATATATAGCATATATAAATGCTTGAATAGAAACAGGTTAAAATGCTTTTATATCTTAATGAAAAAATATACTAATGTAGTAAAGAGATGGGGATTGAACAGAGCACCTACCAAACTTTCTTTCAAGAAATATTTTGATAATCAATAACTTCCTATATAAAGTATATCTCTTTGATCTCTATTTCTAATAAGTGTTACTCATAGACAAGTTTAACAAAAAGCCTGGTATTGTTTTTCCATTACCCAAAGAAAGGAAAATCCATGACGACTCAGTCTCTGTCTAAGCAATAACTGTGCTTCAGACAGATTTATTAGAAACTCCCCCCGGATTAAATTTACATGTAATCTTGTTTGTTGATAGGTCATTTTTTGAAAGTGAAATGGAAAAAATATCAGGCAGGATATATTGCAACAGTCTCAACTGACCCCTAAATCATGACTCCTTACCAGAGGTTAAACCAGCCCAGATGACAGAACTTATTCTATTCAGCAAAGCTTGCCAGTTGCCAAGACATTAGAGAGTTAACATTAATAGCAGCTATGCCTTTGGTGTTGTCCATGATTTTGGAATACTGTAAAAATAATTATGGTTTCCGATCTCAGTAGGAATCCCAATTTCAAGTAGTCAACCATTTTAAGTGTTCTAATGCTTCCTTAGGGGATGGTTATCATAAAGCCACACTGAAAGGGATAACGTTAAGGCTAGAGGAAATACCCTAGCTAATCTTTATGACATACAGTCCCGGCCCCCATGATATCCAAAAAGCCAAATCTTTGAAGAAGTTTAAAAAGCCTATTTTGGAATGCCTACAACTGGCTCCAGAGTCTGAAGAAAAAATGTGATAATAAATTACAAAAAGAAAATCTCTTTCAGGACACTTTCAGGACAGACACTTGGTGGCACCAGAGGACCTCAATGGAACTTTGTAAAAATTTTATAGGAAATTACCCCTCAGAGCAAGGACAAACTGAACATTATATTCAATCAGCATTGGTGGTGAAATTTTACTAAAATTGCTGAGGATGTCTCTGGTGTACAGCTGTCATTAGCACTGTCTTGGTAAAACTGTTATCCTTGTAAATCCAAGCCTTAGGGTCCCTATAAACACTTTCAAATGGATTTCCTAAAATTAACCCCTAGAACAGGTTCTGAGTATGTTCATCATTGCTTCCATCTTTTCAGGATGAACTAAAACTTCTTGCCAGAGAGCTACAGTTCTGTGAGTAGAAAAACAAATTACTTGATTTTGTGTTTCCAACCTGAGGATCTATCTCCAGGGACAGGGTTACTCATTTTACTGGGACTGTCATTACAGAACTTTGCAAAACCTTGTCATTTATTTAGAAATTCATTGCCCCCATCATCCTCAAACTTGAAGAAAAGTAGAGAGGACTAATGGCACACTGTATCTGACACTCTTAAACTTCCATGACCAAGAAGGTTACCTCTAACTCATAACACCATGAAGTCCATACTCCCCTATATTCATTGGCTTTTACCATATAAACTTGTTAAGAGTTTGCCCTATGAAGTTGGCTACTTCTCCCCTGATTTTGGACATTTCTTTACTTCAGACAAATGTGGCAAAACACTCCAAGGGACTAATGTAATCTGTTTCAGAGTCTTATCACAAACAGATAACAGTTGCTTTTCTTCTATATGACCAAAAGCTCAGAGGTAATGTCTTCTAGAAATGACCTCAGAAAGAAAAAACAAATATCCTGAAACCATGTTGGAAATAATCCTACCAAGAACTGCCAGCACAGTAGCTAACCCCTGGGGAATAGATCCTTGAATTCATGTCTCCCAGATGAACAGACACTAGGTTTCACTAATACATGGAATGCCATTCCATCAAGAAATTTAAATCTAAGGAGTCTTGAGAAAGCTTCAGAAGCAGACATATTCAGAAAGAAACAGCTACCATTCAAGAGGTATGGATCAAGACAGCCTCTACCCAAGACCTACAGAGTCTGTTTTTATATGGCCTGTGAGCCAGGAATGGTTTTTATATTTTTAATGGGTTAAAAAGAAAAATAAAAAAATAACATTTCAAATCACCTGAATATTGTATAAAATATAAATCTTAGTGTCCATAACATTTTATAGGAACATAGACACACTGATTCATGTAAGTACTGTCCATGGCTGCTTTTACACTATAACAAAGTTGAATGGTTGTGACAGAGACCATACTGTCCACAAAGTCTGAAATATTTACTACGTGGCTCTTTACAAAAAAAGCTTGCTAACACCCTACCTAGATAATCAGAGCTAAAGATTGCAATGCTTTTATTTGCAGGCTTTTGTTCTTTATTTTCTGAGGTACTTTCTTTCCCCTTTCTTAATCCAGCCCCTTAAGTGAGTAAAAACATATTATTTATTAACCATGATGGTTTCAAAGGTCCTTATCCTTAATATTGCTCCCTACATTCTTGGCCACTCTATGGTGTGAGTCCAATTACTAATGGAAATTTTTGATTTGGGGATGGCCTCTGTTCTCTTGGTTTAATATAGGTATTCCTAGCTGCTGGCTTTAAAGTGATCTACAAGTTCTGATAACAAACTTTTCTTTAGTGTTTTTCCACGTTGGTGTGTTCAGAAGTGTAACTTCTGGAATCTTAAGTACTGTTGCATAGCCACTGTCCTATAAAGTGATCCAACAAATTATGATCCAACAAAAGGAAAAACTGATACACACGCACACACACACACACACACACACCACCAGAAACCACCTACATGCCATCATGACTCTTCATCAAGCAGCATAAATCTTGATTGATCACATCCTAAATAATAATAGTTTATTTTATTTTCCAGCTCAGGTTGAAGAAGCAAAAGGGGACTGAGAACTAAAACCACCTGCATCAATATAACAGAGATATTCAGAGTAAGAACTGAGAATACCTGTGTCAACACAACTTAGTTTTTTGTTCCAGGAAACCTTTGCCCAGTAAATATAAGACTATAAAAACCAATAAATTATATCACTGTTTGTTTCAGGCAACTGCTGCAAAACAACTTATCTGAGACAATAGTTTATTTGGGTAAACATCTGGTTTATCAAACAACTATTTATTCTCAAGAGTAGCTTCAAGAGCTTCAATGTTGCCACATTCACAATCCTAAAATACTGCATTACAAAATTTGCCCAATCCCCATCAATATCCTCCCTTAAAAGATCTGCCTAAATCTGCTTGCACCTAGACCCTATAACCCTCTACATAGTCCAATACTGATTTGCACCTTTTGAAATACTAAGACTCTGTAAAAGTAGTGTTTTCACTTACTGCAATGAGTTTCAATAAACATACCTGCTTTATTAACAAGTTGTTTGGTGATATTTGAGGGAATGCAACCAGGCAGTTCTAATTTACACTGCTAACAACATATGAAAGTTCTTGTTTTTCTAAAAGTTGGTAAAGGTAGGAATCTGGCTTTTTCTTCAGATGGAATCCAGCTCTAATACCATTTCTTGAATAATCCATTATTCCCCACTGATTTAAAGGCCACCGTTAACATTCACTAAATTATCTTATGTATTTGGATCTATTTCTAGATTCTGTTGTGTTCTACTAAATAACTATGTATACTGCACCAAGCTATTTTAATTATGACAGCTTTATATTATGTTTAAGAATCAAGTATGACTATTTCATTCCCTTCTTTTTAAATTTCCCAGCCACTCTTGTATGTTTATTTCCACATAAACCTTAGAATAAGCTTAAGTACCAAAAATATGTTCTTGACATTTTAAATTGGATTTATTTATTTATTTTTAGAGACAGAGCCTCGCTCTGCACCCAGGCTGGAGTGCAATGGCGCAAACATAGCTCACTACAGCCTCAAATTCCTGGGCTCAAGTGATCCTCCCACCTCAGCCTCCCGAGGAGCTAGGACTACAGGCACACACCACCACGTCCTGCTAATATATGTATTTTTTAATAGAGACAAGGTCTCACTATGTTGCCCAGGCTGGTCTTGAACTCCTGGCTTCAAGTAACCCTCCTGCCTTGGCCTACCAAAGTGCTGGGATTACAGGCGTGAGCCACTGCAGTTGGTCATTAAATTGGGTTCATTAAACTTACCTTAGGGACTGTGATAACTTTATGCTGTTAGCTCTATGCAAAAACAAGATATAACTTTACATTTTAAAATCTGCTTGAAATTAGTTGTACTTAGTATTTACCTATTCTTTCCCTCCATATTCTTTCCCTCCACAGATAGGTCTGTTTCAGACTTGTCCTTCATATAATTCAACCCTGATTTTACTCCCACAATCTGCACAACCTTTGGATCTGTCTAGCCTTGAAATTCCAATTATTTCTAGTTTGGTCTATCCACTATCACCTGACTTCTGATTCTGATGTTACCCCCAATTCCTGTTTCAATATTACCAAACAATGAGAACAGAAATCAGCATAATTACACTTTCAGGTTTTAGTTGTTAAGATTACTCTGATGGAACAGCATGAGAAGCACTATCATAAATGCTTCAATACAGATAAAGCTATGGAGAAAATAAGAGCTGCTACTATTTTTTAATATTTGGTTACATTATGTAATAACACCCTGGAAAAATAAGGGACGAGTTATGAGGTTTCATTGTTTTCAAAATATTCTCACTCCCCTATAACACACAATGTGTTTCTCAGATGTAAAATAGTTTTCAGAGTTATTCACAGTGCCGTATCAAAAAGCCTGAACAAAATTCTTATTCTCAGTTTTCTGGAAGCCTAAATGTTACCAACAGTTTTAGTTGGGATTTTCTTGAGATTTTAAAATAATCCACTAACACCTGAATATGTTAGAAAATTTAAAAATTAACTTGGCAATAAGGATTAGAATACATTTTAAAATAGATGCTATAAATACTAATCTGAGAGAAAAAAAATACTCACTGTATTAGTTAGCTTTCATACTGCTACAAAGAACTGCCCAAGACTGGGTAATTTATAAAGGAAAGAGGTTTAATTGACTCACAGTTCAGCATGTCTGCGGAGGCCTCAGGAAACTTACAATCATGATGGAAGGCGAAGGGGAAGCAAGGCACCTTCTTTACAAGGTGACAGAAAGGAGAAGTGCTGAGCGAAGAGGGAAGAGCCCCTTATAAAACCATTAGATCTCATGAGAACTATCAGGAGAACAGCATGGGGAAACTGCCCAAATGATTCAATTACCTCCACCTTGTCTCTCCCTTGACACGTGGGGGTTACGGGGATTACAATTCAAGATGAGATTTGGCTGGGGACACAAAGCCTAATCATATTACTCACCTTTTGCCATTTAAGTTCCTGTGTCTCCACAATAATTTTACCAATCTGCTCTTCATAATGAATTTCTGCTTCCTAAGTCAAAAAGAAAAAGAAAAGTGCTATAAAAATAAAGACTTTAAAACTTCCAGTTTCAGCTCTTTCTGGAGAGATATAGAAATAGCATACTCCCACCTTTACAACAAGAAAAAAATCTAGACAAACTGCAAATTAAATAGACAAGTCCATCATAGAACTGAGGTCCCAGATCAATCAAGTGCCCAAAATCTGGATAGAGACAGGTGCCTAGAGAAACAGAACCCTGACATTTGCTTACCTGGGACATAAGCTACTGAGGACTGGTAAGAAGCTTCAACGAAAAGTCCTTAATAAATTGCTAAAGGTAGAATGTAGGCTACTGTAAAAATATGAATCTCCTGAAATAGGGAGGTTTGTACTTTCTAGCAGGCTTTTCTTCTAGGAAACCCACCAGGTGCTTACAGAAAAGGTTGAGAAAAATCCTATAAAAGTTTTCCCCTGCAGCACTGGCTATGTAGGGGAAGAGCAGTCCCAAACCATCTTCCCTATTTCCTCTACAGATCAAAACCCTTAATCTGCAGAGGGGAGGGCAACAGAAACTATAGCTAAAAGCACTAGTGGAAACCCTCTGCAGCTGGGCAAGGGGACCAAAAGTCATCACTAAAAATTCTACCTAGGCAGACCTATCTTCCTTATCTCCTCTAAGCAGCAGCTGGGAAGAGGAGGACTGGGAGAACAAGGCAACAACAGTTCTTTCATTGTGGGAGGGGCAGGAATACATGCTAGGCCCAGCATTACATATGAAGGAGGGACCAAACACTCATGAAGATCTCATCCTGAGACTCAGGTTCACCTAAGACTAAGGTTTAATGAGAATATCAGAGAACGCCCTTCTTCCCCTATCTTCCACCACCACCACCATGCCAATAAGCATCAAGTAAAAAGAACAAGGAGATACAGCAAGGAGAGCTGCAAAGACAGAGTTTCTCTGGGAAGCAGGACAAAGAAAAGACCCAAAGACAAGTGGGAAGGCCCAATGCCAAGCAGGAAGCAGTCATTTAGAAATACTCTCTGGTTTTGTTTGAAATAATGTAATACTCCTGAATTCGCCCACATCATAAACATAAGGTATCACTAGAGAAATCTGAAGCTTCTGCTGAATAACAGGCAGAGTTGAAAACTGCCTGGTTTAAGTATTGAAGGTGTGCCTCAACACACACACACAGAGCCCTTCTGCAAAATCTAGGAGATTTTTTGTTTCCTTTGATATTTAAAGAAATCTCTGCGATCACTAGCTGACCACTAATATAACAGCAAAGTCAGTAGCCACACACAACAAAGACAACAGACCTTACAAATTAGTTCAAAGGCAAATTAGTTCAAAGACACACTAAACAAAGACAAGAAGCAGGAACCCTAGAAAGTGAGAAGAGTCTGATTTCCAGAGCTGCCATATATCCAAAATGTTTCTAACAAAAAGTTACAAGGCATGCAAAGTAAAAGCAAAGTGTAGCCCATTATATGGGGGAAAAAAATTAATGGAAATTATACTTTAGGAAGCCCAGAAATTAGATGTACTACATAAAACTTTTAATCAAACTATTTTAAATATGGTCAAAGAGCTAAAAGAGACCACGTACAAAAACATAACTATTAAAAAGATAATAAGCAAATGCTACAAAAAAACTTTACACTCAGAAATTTGACAACTTAGAGAAATTGGCCAATGTCTCGAAAGCCACAAACTATCAAAACTCAACCAAGATAATACAGACAATCTAAATAGCCCTATAACTATAAAAGGAGTTGAGTTCTTAATAAAAAGCCTCCCAAAAAGAAATCTTCAGGCCCAGATGGTTTCACTGGAGAATACTACCAAATATTTAAAGAATTAACACCACTTTTACACAGTCTCTTCCAGAAAAACAGAAGAGGAGGAAACACATACTAACTGATTTTATCAGACCTATTTACCATAATACCAATACCAAAGACAGCACAAAGGGAATACTCTGACCAATACTTCTCACAAATTTTGATGCAAAAATCCTTAATAACATGTTAGCAAACAGAATCCAACAATATAATTTAAAAATTATATGAGTGGAATTTATTGCAGGTATGCAAAGCTGGTTCAACAGTTGAAAATCAATCAGTATAATTTATTACATCAATACGCTAATCATATGATCGCATCAACCAACACAGAAAAAACACTTAACAAAATTCAACATCCATTCTTGATAAAAACTCTTACCAAGTTAGGAATAAAAATATTATCCTTGCTTTTTGTAAAGAACACTTACAAAAACCGTACACTTAGCATCATATTTAATGGTGAAAGACTGAATGCTTTCCCTTTAAGATCAGAAACAATGTAGGGATGTCTATTCTCATCGCTCTTATTAAATATAATACTGAAAGTTTTAGCCACTATCAGGCATACACAAATAAATAAACAGATTGGAAAGGAAAAAATAAAACTACCTCTATTTGCAGATGATATGATTGTATGCATAGAAAATACTAAGGAACCTACAAAAAAAACTCCCAAAAATAGTAAGTGAATTTAAGAAGGTCACAGGATACAAGATTAACACACTAAAAACAATGTCACATTTCTATATTTTAACAATGAATATGCAGAAACCAAAATTTAAAATGCAACTTATAATCACATCAAATCAAGAGAGTAATTATCTCTTGGAGTGGGCATTAAAGATAGAATTTGCCTGGGAAGAGGCATGAGGGAGCTTTCTGGGTTGATGAAAATATTTTATATCTTGATAAGGTTTCAATTATACAGGTGTATTCACCTGTCAAAACTCACTGAATGTACAGCTAAGACGTGTACATTTCATTGTATATAAACTTTAATGTAAGGAAAAAAGCTGTAGAGAAATAATAAACTCTTTGTAATGATACTTATTTTATTTTTTATTTTTTGAGACACAGTCTCGCTCTGTCACCCAGATCCAGCCTGGAGTGCAGTGGTGCAATTTTGGCTCACTGCAACCTCCGCATCCCAGGTTCAAGCAATTCTCCTGCCTCAGCCTTTCAAGTAGCTGAGATTACAGGTACATGCCACCATGCCCAGCTAATTTTTATATTTTTAGTAGAAATGGGGTTTTACCATGTTGGCCAGGCTGGTCTCAAACTCCTGGCCTCAGGTGATCTGCCTGCCTCGGCCTCCCAAAGTGCTGCGATTACAGGAATGAGCCACTGCACTTGGCCCATGATATTCATTTTAAATATCAGGAGGAAGTATACTGATGTCTGCAATTTACTTTGAAATCAACAGAATAAAGTCAAAAGAGGGATAGATAGATATGTGATAAAGCAAAAATAGAAAAATATTAATGTTATATGAGTGTTCACTGTAAAATTCTTTCAGTTTTGCTGTATGTTTGACAATTTTCATAACAACATGTTGGAGAGAAACCAAAGAGTAGATATTAACATATAAAATATGTGCTTTTTAAATGAAATATTTTTCTATGACTCACTTTTTTTTTTTTTTTGAGACAGAGTCTTGCTCTGTCGCCCAGGCTGGAGTGCAGTGGTGCGATCTCAGTTCACTGCAAGCTCTGCCTCCTGGGTTCACACCATTCTCCTGCCTCAGCCTCCCGAGTAGCTGGGAGGGACTACAGGCACCCGCCACAGTGCCCGGCTAATTTTTTGTATTTTTAGTAGAGACGGGGTTTCACTGTGTTAGCCAGGATGGTCTCAATCTCCTGACCTCGTGATCTGCTCGCCTCGGCCTCCCAAAGTGCTGGGATTACAAGCATGAGCCACCGTGCCCAGCCTATGACTCACTTTTATGTCCTTTGCTTTATTATACATACATACACATATATACACTTATGCTATGTTACTCAAAGATAGACTTTCATGAAAGTTGTCTCATTTAGAACGTTTTTAGCCGCAAGTAACAACAACAAAATCCAGCTCACAATGGCTTATGGGAGTTAGCATCTCACATGAACAGGAGTCTAAAAGTAGAGTGCTTCTACAATTGATTATTTCAGTGGCCCACTCAACAATATCATCAATACTATGATTCTGCTCATCTTTCCATTTTGCCATTATCAGTGATTTTCATCATGCTTTCCACCCCTCATGGTTGCAAAATGGTTACTTTCATTTTAGGCATTAACGACAAGTCAGAGAACATCTTGCAGTAGAAAAAGTGTATTCTCTTAAAAAAAGGTTAACAAAAGCTTTTCCAGAAGCTTCCCAACACACATTCCCTAATAATTCATTGGCCATAACTGGGTCACATACCCTCTCCTAAGCCAGTCATTGGCAGGGGAAGTACATTGGATCTTTACAGGTGATTAAAGTGAGGACTTATCTGACTCACAGTCATGAGAGGTGGACCCTATGACACATTTAGGGTTTTTCCAACATGGAAGAAGGGAGGAAATCCATACCAACAGTATATACTACAAGATACATAAATGAGGAGAGATTACAATCTCTTACAGTAATACCTTTCTATTATTAAAACATATTGAAAAAGGAAATAAATGTACATATATACATTTGTTTTGGGAAGGAGTGTACATAAAACATGCATCTCTTCTCAAAGCAGTTGGACTGAAAATGTATAAGATACTGTTTTCATCATGTAGGTCTGGTTCTCTTTTAACCACTTCTCTTTCAGTGGTTAGAGTGGGTTCTGAGGCCTTACCATGATCTAGATATTGTTCTAAGTACTTTTTATTTATTGATTAATTGAATCCTGGACATAATATAATGAGGTAGGTTCTCTTACTATTGCCATTTTATACATAAGGAACCTGAGATAGCAAGAGGGTAAATAGCTTGGCTAAAGTCACACAGGAGGTAAATGGCAGAGCCAGTACTCAAACTCAGATCATCTGTCTCCAAAGTCTCTTAAATGTTGCATTACACTACCTTGAAGAGATTGTGGATGCTGCAGAACAGTATGGATTGTTATGATATATATTCCTTTCCTTCAAAAACTTCAGAAGTTAATCTTTATATCCCCTCAAATTTAGGAAACCATTCAAAATCATTTTACCTATGTAAAATATGCAAGCACAATCTGGTTATTTGGTAAAACATCTCAAAATAAAAACTAGAAATATTTGTTGAATGAAAAACAAAAGAATGTAAGAATTGCTATGAATTTTCTAATATTAATAGATAATTTTCTATATCAGAAATCTTTGTAATAGATTAAGCTGACCAATGTGAAAATCATGGTTCAAATACTATTAAGAAAGAGATTTGTGTAAATATAAACTTTTAGGCTAGCCCATGAATGTTAGAAATATTTCTCTTGAGTACTTTTCAGACCAAGAAACTATCTGGAAGAGTGATTAGTATTTTCTTAGACAACATGAGAAACTGAGTTGAGCAATTTCGTAGGAGGTGGATTATCAGTTTGAAAAGGAATGTACAAGTACCCAGTTACAATTTTGGCTGCTTGGACACGTGCCTGGCGTATGTACCTAAATCTGTTCAGGGTCAAGAATTGAAGAGGCCTGACCAATACATAGCCCATCTTGTAAAACTACTGCCTGAAGCAAACACTTTAAAAAAGGCATGACACTTTCTAAAGGTTATAAAGAGTAAATAAACCATCAAATTACTCCTCTTTTATTGTTTTTGTAAAAACACTTATATCCTTGTAGTCCTAAGGCATCTAATAAAAAATAAACACTTTTATTAAGATTCTGTATTCTAGGTACTTTATTGAAGTTAGAGACAACATTTTTTATTAAATTTAATATTTTTTCTCATTGACATTTAATAAGAATTTTTATAACTTTTAAAAGCTGCTTAAAGACAGATGGAAGAAAAAATTAAAGTTCTAATAAAAAGTTTAATAATTTATAATAGAAAGCATAAAGTTAATAAAATCCTACTCTAGTACAAATATATTCTAATGCTATTTTTCTGCAATGTGGCTAACACCCATTTTATCAGTTTTCCATGGGGTATAAAGATATACATTCTACAAATCATAATAATCAGAAAGGGGTATGATTCTATCCATACCATTTTTAATTTTATGGGGTATTGAAATGCTGCTTAATGTTATTTACCACATATTATACCATTAATTACCCAGTTTTCCCTCATACTTTTCTTATTTTAAACCACCCAAAACTCCACTGACTTTTATTTACTGCTAATTTAGAATTCAAAAATTTATTCTTTAGATAGTTAACAAATTTAATGTGCCCTTTCTGAACTACCCTAATACTTTGCTCATGATTCTATTATGATACATAATACATACTACGTGATAGTATAGTTATTAATTTGCATGGCATGTGATGCCCATTAAATTTTCAATTCTCTTAAGGCATAGATTGAGAAATGGTTTATAAAAGGTTATCGAATTAATGCATAATTTAAAAGCCTAAAAGATTTGTGGTAGAGATCTTTAATCCCCATTGTAGAGATGATTTGGCTCAGAAATATATTTTGTTTTAAAACTTTCAACTTACTTCCGATTTTTTAGAATTCAATAGATTTCATGTTGAAATCTGTATTTCTAGTTTTTCTTCAATAATTGAAAAAGATGGATAGCACAGAGCTTATTTTTCTACATGCCAATAATTACTTGGAGCTGAATGGCAGATGTAGGTTGAACTGAAGATATATGCTTTCCAGGTCAACATAATTCCTACCCTACTCACATCACATGCGAACTGCCTGAATTCTGAAGGAAGGTGTCTGTGACTTGTTACTCCTGTGCTATTACTGTGCATCCCCACTCCTTATCAGTAATTCTATCTATGTGTTAAGGACATGTATCAAAAACGATGTCTAACTTCTAAAATGCAGACATTGTGGATTCAATATAAACTATTTTGTTGATTCGGACTGTTAATTTGTAAATCATTATAAATTTTAAACATTCAATTTTTTTCAAATATTATCATTACCATTTTAGGCTCATACAGAAAAAAATGAATAATATCCCCTTACTTTTATTAATTACTATACAGTTAAGTAGTGAAATATAGTTTAGTGAAGTAAGAAGATGTCTTTTTTTTTTTAACTTTATAGTAATCCCCCCTTATCCATGGGTTCACTTTCTGAGGTTTCAGTTACCCGCAGTCAACCATTGTCCAAAAATAGGTTAATATAATACAATAAGATATTTTGGCAGAAAGTGAGACCATATTTCCATAATTTTTATTATAGTATATTGCTATAATTGTTCTATTTTTAGCTGTTGTTAACTTCTTATATACGTAATTTATAAACTAAACTTCATTACAGGTATGTACATGTCGGGAAAAACAGTACATATTGCACAGGGTTTGATACTATCTGAGGTTTCAGGCATCTGCTGCAGGTCCTGGAACTTATCCCCCACAAAATAAGGAGAGACTACTATATCTTGTTGTCCTACCTACTAGCTTATAAAACACTTACTGTGTTTTGCTCATTACAACTAAAGACATTTTGCTATCTAACCCTTTACAATATAGCTCAATTTTACGTTAACTTTATTCATTTCAGCTAACTTATTATACATGTTAATGGAAGAGCACTGGAGAAGGAATGGGGAGATGTGAGTATGAGTTTCTGGGTTTTAGGTTGGTCTAGAAGGTTGGTCTATAATTAGGTCACTTTCATCTCTAAATTTCTACAATTTCATGATCCTGCAAAAAGACTGATGATGTAGAATACATCTCCAAGATCATACAGAGAAGAGAACCTTAAAGAAGTGATCCTGATAATCAGCATCTGATAGTTCACTAGAGGCTGAGAAACAGGCAGATCCACCAGCAGTCTTATGAGGATAGGCTTAGTGTTCAGGGCCCGCCAAGGAGGAGGGACTCTGGCAAATATCCTAGAATTTTAGTTGGAACCCCAAAGAGCTACACTTTTAGAGTACAAAGTGGAAATAAATTACTCCTCACAAAGACGAAAACAGCTTCCAGGCAGCTCAATCTCTGACTAGTAACATAATCTGCCCAACTCCAACTTCCAGAAGCAAAAGTAAATCTCTCTAAAGAAAGTTAATACCACCCAAAGCCTCAAATTTCCTTTACAACTTTTCATGCACAAAGTCAGTCACTGAATCAAAATTTACTCTACTTCACTGGAGATAGGGTCAAATGACCAAAAACTAAGAGAAAAAGAGAGACAATAGAAATGGATCTACAAGAAGTCCAGATATTGGATTTATTGACATAGACTTTAAAATATATGTGATTAACATGCTCAAGGAAATATAAAACAAAATGAATTTCCACAGAGGACTGAAAATTATAAAAGACAAACCATATGGAAATATTAGAACTGAAAAATATAATAAATCAAATTAAGAACTCAATAGATTGAGTTTATCAGCAGATTAGACAACTTGAAGAGAGGATTATTAAAGTGAAAGGACAGAAAAAAATAGCTAGACTGAAACATGGAGAGAAAAAAGTATGGAAAACATAGACAGAAAAATTAGTAATAATATAGAAGATTTTAACAAGATTGACAAAGTTGATCTATATAATTCATATTCACAGAACACTGCACCTAAGAAATGCAGAAAACACATTCTTTTCAAATTCATCAGTGTTAGAATATTTACCAAAATCAATTATAGGCTTGGCCAGAAAGCAAATCTCTACATATATTAAGTGACTGCAATTATATGGACTATATTATGTGATACAATAGAAATAAGCTAGAAATCAATTTTTTAAGTTAGCAAAAAATAAAATACCCAAATATTCTTAAAAGAAGTATACTTCTAAGTAGCCCATATGTTGAAGAAGAAATTATAAAAAAATTACAAAATAATTTGAATAAAAATACAATATATAAAAATTAGGATCCAGCTGAAGCCATGTTCAGAAAAATTTATAGTCTTATAAATGCCAGGATCCTGTCCAGGTTACCACATTGCATTTAGTCATCATGTCTCCTTAGATTCCTCCATTCTGTCAGTTTCTCAGTATTTCCTTGTTTTTACTGACCTTGACACTTTTGAAGAATATTATTGAGGTATCTTGTAGAATGTCCCTCAAATGGGGCTTGTCTGATATTTTTTCATAATTATACTAGCTGTGGGGGAAGAATGTCATAGAGAATAAAGTTCCCTTTTCATCACATTGCATCATGAATATTTGATATTCATGTGAATCACTGATACCAACATGAATTATTTCTGGAGATTTTCACTTTAATCACTTAGTTAAGGTAGTGTCTTCCAGGTATCTCCACTGTAAACCTAGTATTTTCCCCTTACATATTCTAGTCATTAGAAACAAGTCACTTATTCCACAATAGGGTGGGGTGTTGGGGCATAGAATTAAGCTCTGCTTCCCAGAGGGAGGAATAGCAAACAATTTTGAACAAGACATAAAATCACTACAGTAAATTACTAAATAATTTAGAAAAAATATTGTGTCACTATGTAACTACCTTGTTTCTCCTTAAAGTTTCAGCCATCAAATTTGGCATTCATCAGTGGATACTGCCTGAAGCAATTTTTTTTTCTTTTTTTTGAGACGTTGTCTCGCTCTGTCCCCCAGGCTGGAGCGCAGTGGCGCCATCTCGGCTCACTGCAACCTCTGCCTCCTGGGTTGAAGCAATTCCCTGCCTCAGCCTCCTGTGTAGCTGGGATTACAGGCACCCACCACCACGTCCGGCTAGTTTTTGTATTTTTAGTAGAGATGGGGTTTCACCATCTTGGCCAGGCTGGTCTTGAACTCCTGATGTCGTGATTCACCTGCCTCGGCCTCCCAAAGTGCTGGGATTACAGGTGTGAGCCACTGTGCCTGGCCTGCAGCAATTATTACTGTGATTTTTCTAAGGGTGATTTTTCTATTTCTCCTTTTCCTCCTACATTTAATAGCTGAAATTCTTTTGTAAAATATTTTTCCCAGCTGAGTGTGGTGGCTCACGCCTGTAATCCTAGCACTTTGGGAGGCTGAGGCAGGTGGATCGCTTGAGGCTATGAGTTTGAGACTAGTCTGAGCCACATAAGGAGACCTCATCTATACATAAAATTTAAAATTTAGCCAGGCATGATGGTGCCACCTGTGGTCCCAGCTACTCAGGAGGCTGAGGTAGGAGGATTGCTTAAGCCCAGGAGGTCAAGAATGCGGTGAAGCATGGTTGCACCATTGCACTCCAGCCTAGGTAACAGAGCAAGACCTTGTCTCAAAAAAATAATACTAAATAAATAAATAAACTCCTCTCTCCCCAATTTATCTATTTATTTAATCATTTATTAATATTAATAGGAGATCCAATAATATCATTATTTTGTGGTTCAAATTGCTCCAGTTTTAACCGTGGGAGCTCTTTCGGGCTGTCTTATGTATCCTTTTGACATTACGTTAAGTACTTCCTCACTTTCCAGCACTGCAAGATGCCCAGCCCTGAAATAGGTCATGTCTCCTGGTTCCTTTTACTAAGAGTCCTGGTTCCTTTTACTAGATAATAATATTTAGATCCCAAGATCTGGGTGTCAGTTCTTCTAGGCCCTCTCGGGAGACAAAGCTAGAAAATATATGTATATACGCTAACCCATGTATACACAGACGTCTATATTTATCTATCTGTATATAATTAAACCATGAATTCATACTGATATTTCCAATTCTGTTTTGTTTGTTTTGTTTTGTTTTGTTTGAGCTGGAGTCTCGCTCTGTCGCCCAGGCTGGAGTGCAGTGGTGTGATCTCAGCTCACTGCAACCTCTGCCTCCCAGGTTCAAGCAATTCTCCTGCCTCAGCCTCCCAAGTAGCTGGGACTACAGGAGTGCACCACCACACTCGACTAATTTTTGTATTTTTAGTAGAGATGGGGTTTCACCATGCTGGCCATGCTGGTCTTGAACTCCTGACCTCAGGTGATTCACCCGCCTTGGCCTTCCAAAGTGCTGGGATTATAGGCATGAGCCACCCTGCCCAGCCCAATTCTTTTTTTTTTTTTCAACTTTAAGTGCCAGGGTACATGTGCAGGATGTGCAGGTCTGTTACATAGGTAAAGGTGTGCCATGATGGTTTGCTGCACAGATCAACCCATCACCTAGGTATTAAGCCTAGCATCCATTAGCTATTCTTCTTGATGCTCTCCCTCCCCATTCCTGCCCTAATAGGCTCCAGTGTATGTTGTTCCCCACCATGTGTCCATGTGTTTGCATCATTCAGCTCCCACTTACAAGTGAAAATATGCAGTGTTTGGTTTTCTGTTGCTGCATTACTTTGCTGAGGATAACAGCTTCCAGCTCCATCCATGTCTCTGCAAAGGACATGATCTCGTTCCTTTTTATGGCTGCATAATATTCCATGGTGTGTATATACCATATTTTATTTATCCTGTCTATCACTCATGGGCTTTTAGGTTGATTCCATGTCTTTGCTATTGTGAATAGTGCTGCAATGAACATACGTGTGCATGTATTAGTATTTTTATAAAACAATGTTTTAGATTTCTTTGGGTATATACCCAACAATGGGATTGGTGGGTCAAATGGTATTTCTGCCTCCAGATCTTTGAGGAATCACCACACCATCTTCCACGACGGTTGAACTAATTTACACTCCCACAAACAGTGTAAAAGCATTCCTTTTTCTCTGCATCCTTGCCAGCATCTGTTGTTTTTTGACTTTTTAATAATCACCATTCTAACTGGCATGAGGTATCTCCAACTCTAACGCAGCAGCAAAGAGCTCATTCTAGCCTTCCCCTTGGCTTATTTGTCACTTCTTTCAACAGTGAAAAAATCTACCTACCTCTCAGTATCTATTTGCTTATTTGTTCAACTCTAGTATACCTGTAGTTTCAGAATTGCTGACATGCACCCATCCAAGAAACAAATTTACCAAGTAGAGACATTGTTTATGTACCTTTCTTTTTGTCTTTAGCCTTACAGCATCCAGTCAAAATGCCATTTTCCAAAGTTAAGTCACTTCTTTTCCCCCTACTCTGCTCACTGAAGTTTATGTTACGCATTTGTGAAAGTTTGTTGCATTTTCATAGTATAAATTCCACACTAGAATTCTCCTGCACATCCT
This sequence comes from Homo sapiens, assembly GCF_000001405.40. Taxonomy (NCBI): domain Eukaryota; kingdom Metazoa; phylum Chordata; class Mammalia; order Primates; family Hominidae; genus Homo; species Homo sapiens. The sequence goes on from NC_000011.10 coordinate 32,730,109, forward strand.
TGTAAATTTGCATATAGTACAGTTTACTCCTTCTGGTGTCATTTTACAGGTTTGACAGAAGAATGTTGTGGTAGACCACTACTATATAATACAGAAGAGTTACATCATCCCCTAAATTTCTCATGCATTCCACATAGCAAACCCCTCTCCTATCCTCCAATACCTAGTAATCACTGATTTATTTTCCATTGCTATAGCTCTGTCTTTTCCAGAATGTCATATAAATGCATTATAATATATAGCCTCTTGAATCTGGCTTCTCTCACTTAGAAAATTTCATTTAAGATTCACACCTCCTCCATTTTTGAGGATTTTTTTGCTGGGAATAGAATTCTAGGTTGGTAGTTATTCTTTTAACATTTTAAAGGTGCCATTCTATTGTCTTCCAGGTTGAGTAATTATTACTGAGAAGCCCACTATCCATCTTCATCTTAGTGTTGTTGCTTTGAATATAATTAATCTTTTCCACTTGTGGCTGCTTTTAAGATTCTGTTTGGTTTTCAGTTCTTCCATGATGTATCTGGGTATTTTCTGTGTATTCATCCTACTGGGCTTCACAGAGCTTCTTGAAACTCTGGGTGGTAGGTTTAATCCATTTTGGATATTTTCTAATGTCATGTAGTTCTACAATCCTATCTTCTGCTGTGTATAATTAGCTGCTAAATCTATTGAGTTCTGAGGGGGAGGTTCCAAGAAGGACAAATAGGAATAGCTCCAGTCTACAGCTCCTAGCATGAGCGATGCAGAAGATGGGTGATTTCTGCATTTCCAACTGAGGTACCGGGTGCATCTCACTGGGGCTTGTCGGACAGTAAGTGCAGGGCAGTGGGTGCAGCCCACGGACCATGAGCCAAAGCAGGGCGAGGCATCATCTCACCCGGGAAGCACAAGGGTTTGGGGAATTCCCCTTCCTAGCCAAGGGAAGCCATGACAGATGACACCTGGAAGATCAGGTCACTCCCACCCTAATACTGCACTTTTCCAATGGTCATAGCAAACGACACACCAGGAGATTATATCCTGCACCTGGCTCGGAGGGTCCCACACCCACGGAGCTTGGCTCACTGCTAGCACAGCAGTCTGAGATCAAACTGCAAGGTGGCAGCGAGGCTGGGGGAGAGGCGCCCACCACTGCTGAGGCTTGAGTAGGTAAACAAAGTGGCCAGGAAGCTCAAACTGAGTAGAGCCCACCACAGTTCATGGAGGCCTGCCTGCCTCTGTAGACTCCACCTCTGGGGGCAGGGCATAGATGAACAAAAGGCATCAGAAACCTCTGCAGAATTAAATGTCCCTGTCCGACAGCTTTGAAGAGAGTAGTCGTTCTCCCAGCACGGAGTTTGAGAATGGACAGACTGCATCAAGTGGGTCCCTGACTCCCGAGTAGCCTAACTGGGAGGCACTTCCCAGTAGGCGCTAACTGACACCTCATACAGCCGTGTGCCCCTCTGAGACGAAGCTTCCAGAGGAACAATCAGGCAGCAACATTTGCTATTCTGCAATATTTGCAGTTCTGCAGCCTCTGCTGGTGATACCCAGGCAAACAGGGTCTGGAGTGGACCTCCAGCAAACTCCAACAGACCTGCAGCTGAGGGTCCTGACTGTTAGAAGGAAAACTAACAAACAGGACATCCACACGAAAATCCCATCTGTACATCACCATCATCAAAGACCAAAGGTAGATAAAACCACAAAGATGGGGAGAAACCAGAGCAGAAAAGTTGAAAATTCTAAAAATAAGAGCACCTCTTCTCCTCCAAAGGAAAGCAGCTCCTCGCCAGCAAAGGAACAAAGCTGGACGGAGAATGACTTTGACAAGTTGAGAGAAGAAGGCTTCAGAAGATCAGTAATAACAAACTTCTCCGAGCTAAAGGAGCATGTTCGAACCCATCGCAAAGAAGCTAAAAACCTTGAAAAAAGATTGGACGAATGGCTAACTACAATAGACAGCACAGAGAAGACCTTAAATGACCTGATGGAGCAGAAAACCATGGCACAAGAACTATGTGAAAAATGTGCAAGCTTCAGTAGCTGATTCGATCAACTGGAAGAAAGGGTATCAGTGATTGAAGATCAAATGAATGAAATGAAGTGAGAAGAGAAGTTTACAGAAAAAAGAGTAAAACGAAATGAGCAAAACCTCCAAGAAATATGGGACTACGTGAAAAGACCAAATTTACGTCTGATTGGTGTACCTGAAAGTGATGGGGAGAATGGAACCAAGTTGGAAAACACACTTCAGGATATTATCCAGGAGAACTTCCCCAACCTACCAAGGCAGGCCAACATTAAAATTCAGGAAATACAGAGAACACCACAAAGATACTCCTCATGAAGAGCAACTCCAAGACACATAATTGTCAGATTCACCAAAGTTGAAATGAAGGAAAAAATGTTAAGGGCAGCCAGAAAGAAACGTCGGGTTACCCACAAAGGGAAGCCCATCAGACTAACAGCGGATCTCTTGGCAAAAACTCTACAAGCCAGAAGAGAGTGGGGGCCAATCTTCAACATTCTTAAAAAAAAGAATATTCAACCCAGAATTTCATATCCAGCCAAACTAAACTTCATAAGTGAAGGAGAAATAAAATCCTTTACAGACAAGCAAATGCTGAGAGATTTTGTCACCACCAGGCCTGCCTTACAAGAGCTCCTGAAGGAAGCACTAAACATGGAAAGGAACAACTAGTACCAGCCACTGCAAAAACATGCCAAATTGTAAAGACCCTCGATGCTAGGAAGAAACTGCATCAACTAAGAAGCAAAATAACCAGCTAACATCATAATGATAGGATCGAATTCACACACAATGACATTAACCTTAAATGTAAATGGGCTAAATGCTCCAATTAAAAGACACAGACTGGCAAATTGGATAAAGAGTCAAGAACCATCAGCTTGCTGTATTCAGGAGACCCATCTCACGTGCAGAGACACATATAGGCTCAAAATAAAGGGATGGAGGAAGATCTACCAAGCAAATGGAAAACAAAAAAAAGTAGGTGTTGCAATCCTAGTCTCTGATAAAACAGACTTTAAACCAACAAAGATCAGAAGAGACAAAGAAGGCCATTATATAATGGCAAAGGGATCAATTCAACAAGAAGAGCTAACTATCCTAAATATATATGCACCTAATTCAGGAGCACCCAGTTTCATAAAGCAAGTCCTTAGAGACCTACAAAGAGACTTAGACTCCCACACAATAATAATGGGAGACTTTAACACCCCACTGTCAACATTAGACAGATCAACAAAACAGAAAGTTAAAAAGGGTATCCAGGAATTGAACTCAGCTCTGCACCAAGTGGACCTAAGAGACATCTACAGAACTCTCCACCCCAAATCGACATAATATACATTCTTCTCAGCACCACATCACACTTATTCCAAAATTGACCACATAGTTGGAAGTTAAGCACTCCTCAGCAAATGTAAGAGAACAGAAATTATAACAAACTGTCTCTCAGACTACAGTGCAATCAAACTAGAACTCAGGATTAAGAATCTCACTCAAAACTGCTCAACTACATGGAAACTGAACAACCTGCTCCTGAATGACTACCGGGTCCATAACGAAATGAAGGCAGAAATAAAGATGTTCTTTGAAACCAACGAGAACAAAGACACAACATACCAGAATCTCTGGGACACATTTAAAGCAGTGTGTAGAGGGAAATTTATAGCACTAAATGCCCACAAGAGAAAGCAGGAAAGATCTAAAATTGACACACTAACATCACAATTAAAAGAACTAGAGAAGCAAGAGCAAACACATTCCAAAGGCAGCAGATGGCAAGAAATAACTAAGATCAGAGCAGAACTGAAGTAGATAGAGACACAAAAAAACTCTTCAAAAAAATCAATGAATCCAGGAGCTGGTTTTTTGAAAAGATCAACAAAATTGATTAACCACTAGCAAGACTAATAAAGAAAAAAGGAGAGAAGAATCAAATAGTCGCAATAAAACATGATAAAGGGGATATCACCACTGATCCCACAGAAATACAAACTACCATCAGAGAATACTATAAACACCTCTACGCAAATAAACTAGAAAATCTAGAAGAAATGGATAAATTCCTGGACACATACACCCTCCCAAGACTAAACGAGGAAGAAATTGATCTCTGAATAGACCAATAACAGATTCTGAAATTGCGGTAATAATTAACAGCTCACCAACCAAAAAAAGTCCAGGACCAGATGGATTCACAGTCGAATTCTACCAGAGGTACAAAGAGGAGCTGGTACCATTCTTTCTGAAACTATTCCAATCAATAGAAAAAGAGGGAATCCTCCCTAACTCATTTTTTTTTCTTTTTTTTTTTTTTTTTTATTGATCATTCTTGGGTGTTTCTTGCACAGGGGGATTTGGCAGGGTCATAGGACAATAGTGGAGGGAAGGTCAGCAGATAAACAAGTGAACAAAGGTCTCTGGTTTTCCTAGGCAGAGGACCCTGCAGCCTTCCGCAGTGTTTGTGTCCCTGGGTACTTGAGATTAGGGAGTGGTGATGACTCTTAAGGAGCATGCTGCCTTCAAGCATCTCCTAACTCATTTTATAAGGCCAGCATCATCCTGATACCAAAGCCTGGCAGAGACACAACAAAAAAAGAGAATTTTAGACCAATACTCCTGATGAACATTGATGCAGAAATCCTCAATAAAATACTGGCAAACCGAATCCAGCAGCACATCAAAAAACTTATCCACCATGATCAAGTGGGCTTCATCCCTGGGATGCAAGGCTGGTTCAACATATACAAATCATTAAACATAATCCAAGATATAAACAGAACCAAAGACAAAAACCACATGATTATCTCAATAGATGCAGAAAAGGCCTTTGACAAAATTCAACAGCCTTTCATGCTAAAAACTCTCAATAAATTAGGTATTGATGGGATGTATCTCAAAATAATAAGAGCTATTTATGACAAACCCACAGCCAATATCATACTGAATGGGCAAAAACTGAAAGCATTCCCTTTGACAACTGGCACAAGACAGGGATGCCCTATCTCACCACTCCTATTCAACATAGTGTTGGAAGTTCTGGCCAGGGCAATCAGACAGGAGAAAGAAATAAAGGATATTCAATTAGGGAAAGAGGAAGTCAAATTGTCCCTGTTTGCAGATGACATGATTGTATATTTAGAAAACCCCATCATCTCAGCCCAAAATCTCCTTAAGCTGATAAGCAACTTCAGCAAAGTCTCAGGATACAAAATCAATGTGCAAAAATCACAAGCATTCTTATACACCAATAACAAACAAAGAGCCGAATCATGAGTGAACTCCCATTCACAGTTGCTTCAAAGAGAATAAAATACCTAGGAATCCATCTTACAAGGGATGTGAAGGAACTCTTCAAGAAGAACTACAAACCACTGCTCAACAAAATACAACAGGAAACAAACAGAACATTCCATGCTCATGGATAGGAAGAATCAATATCGTGAAAATGGCCATACTGCCCAAGGTAATTTATAGATTCAATGCCATCCCCATCAAGCTACCAATGACTTTCTTCACAGAATTGGAAAAAACTACTTTAAAGTTCATATGGAACCAAAGAAGAGCTCGCATTGCCAAGGCAATCCTAAGCCAAAAGAACAAAGCTGGAGGCATCACGCTACCTGACTTCAAACTATACTACATGGCTACAGGAACCAAAACAGCATGGTACTGGTACCAAAACAGAGATATAGACCAATGGAACAGAACAGAGCCCTCAGAAATAATACCACACATCTACAACCATCTGATCTTTGACAAACCTGACAAAAACAAGAAATGGGAAAAGGAGTCCCTATTTAACAAATGGTGCTGGGAAAACTGGCTAGCCATATGTAGAAAACTGAAACTGGATCCCTTCCTTACACTTTATACAAAAATTAATTCAAGATGGATTAAAGACTTAAATGTTAGACCTAAAACCATAAAAACCCTAGAAAAAAACCTAGGCAATACCATTCAGGACATAGGCATGGGCAAGGACTTCATGTCTAAAACACCAAAAGCAATGGCAACAAAAGCCAACATTGACAAATGGGATCTAATTAAACTAAAGAGTTTCTGCACAGCAAAAGAAACTACCATCAGAGTGAACAGGCAACCTACAGAATGGAAGAAAATTTTTGCAATCTACTCATCTGACAAAGGGCTAATATCCAGAATCTACAAAGAACTCAAACAAATTTACAAGAAAAAAACAAACAACCCCATCAAAAAGTGGGCAAAGGATATGAACAGACACTTCTCAAAAGAAGACACTTATGCAGCCAAAAGACACATGAAAAAATGCTCATCATCACTGGCCATCAGAGAAATGCAAATCAAAACCACAGTGAGATACCATCTCACATCAGTTAGAACGGCGATCATCAAAATGTCAGGAAACAACAGGTGCTGGAGAGGACGTGGAGAAATAGGAACACTTTTACACTGTTGGTGGGACGGTAAACTAGTTCAACCATTGTGGAAGTCAGTGTGGCGATTCCTCAAGGATCTAGAACTAGAAATACCATTTGACCCAGCCATCCCACTACTGGGTATATACCCAAAGGATTATAAATCATGCTGCTGTAAAGACACATGCACACGTATGTTTATTGCGGCACTATTCACAATAGCAAAGACTTGGAACCAACCCAGATGTCCATCAATGATAGACTGGATTAAGAAAATGTGGCACATATACACCATGGAATACTATGCAGCCATAAGAAAGGATGAGTTCATGTCCTTTGTAGGGACATGGATGAAGCTGGAAACCATCATTCTCAGCAAACTATCATAAGGACAAAAAAGCAAACACCACATGTTCTCACATATATATATATATACACACATATACATATATATACATATATATGTATATATGTATATATATATATTCCCCAGGCTGGACTCTTAACTCTTCCCACCTCAGCCTCCCTAGTAGCTGCAACTCCAGGTGTGCACCCACTTCACCTGGCTCTTTATTTTTTTAATAGCAACAAAATATTCTTCATATTTGATTCAATCATCCAATTCTGCATATTAAACCTCCCCAAAATTTCATGATTTTTTAAACTTTTAAAACATTCTTTATTTTTAATATCTGTGGGTACATAGTAGGGCTGTGTGTGTGTGTGTGTGTGTGTGTGTGTGTGTGTGTGTGTGTATATACATGGTCCATAGGATATTTTGACACAGGCATACATTACATAAAAGTCACATCAGGGCCAGGCACAGTGGCTCACACCCATAATCCCAGCACTTTGGGAGGCCGAGGTGGGCAGACCACTTGAGACCAGGTCAAGACCAGCCTGGCCAACATAGTAAAACCCCATCTCTACTAAAAATACAAAAATTAGCCCGTGAGGGCATGGTGGCACAAACCTGTTATCCCAGCTATTCAGGAGGCTGAGGCACGAGAATCACTTGAATCTGGGAGGCAGAGGTTGCCTGGAGCCAAGATCGTGCCACTGCACTCCAGCCTGGGCAACAGAGCAAGACTGTGTCTCAAAAAAAAAAAAAAAAATCACATCAGGGTAAGTAGGGCATCCATCACCTCAAGCATTTATCCTTTATGTTACAAATAATCCAGTTAATACTCTCAGTTATCTTTAAATGTACAACTAAATTATTAGACTATAGTCACCTTATTGTGCTATCAGTTACTAGATCTTATTCAGTCTTATTTTTTTTTGTACCCATGAACCATCCCCAGCTCACCCCTAACCCCACTCCCACTACCCTTCCCAGCCTCTAGTAACCATCATTCTACTCTCTATCTCCATGAGTTCAACTGTTTTAATTTTTACCTCCCACGAATAAGTGAGGACATGCAAAGTTTATCTTTCTGTGCCTGGCTTATTTCACTTAACATAATGACCTCCAGTTCCATCCGTGTTGTTGCAAGTAATAAGATCTCATTCTTCTTTATGGCTGAGTTATACATTCATATACACTGTGTATATGTACCACATTTTCATTATCCATTCATCTATTTACAGACACTTAGGTTGCTTCAAAATCTTGGTTACTGTGAATAGTGCTACAATAAACACGGGAGTACAGATATCTCTTTGATACACTGATTTCCTTTCCTTTGGGTATATACCTAGTGGTGGGATTGCTGGATCATATGGTAGCTCTATTTTCAGTTTTTTAAGAAACCTGCAAATTGTTCTCCGTAGGGGTTATACTAATTTACATTTCCACCAACAGTGTATGAGGGTTCTCTTTTCTCCATATCCTCAACAACATTTGTTATTGCCTGTCTTTTGGATAAAAGCTACTTTAACTGGGGTGAGATGGTATCTCATTGTAGTTTTGATTTGCATTTCTCTGATGATCAGTGATGTTGAACATCTTTTCATATACCTGTGTGCGATTTGTATGCCTTCTTTTGAGAAATATTCAGATCTTTTGCCCATTTTTAAATTGGATTGTTAGATTTTTTCCTATATAGATGTTTGAGCTCTTTATGTATTTTGGTTATTTATCCCTTGTCAGATTGATCATTTGCAAATATTTTCTCCCGTTCTGTGAGTTTTCTCTTCACTTTGTTGATTGTTTCTTTTGCTGTGCAGAAGCTTTTCAGCTTGATGTGATCCCATTTGTCCATTTTTGCTTTGGTTCCTGTGCTTCTGGGTATTACTCAAGAAATCTCTGCCCAGTCCAATGTCCTGGAGAGTTTCCCCCAATATTTTCTTTTAGTAATTTCATGGCTTGAGGTTTTAGATTTAAGTCTTTAGTCCATTTTGGTTTTGTTTTTGTATACGGAAACATAGTGGTCTACTTTCATTCTTCCGCACATGTATATCCAGGTTTTTCAGCACCATTTATTGAACAGTCATTCCTCAATGTATGTTCTTGGCACCTTTGTTGAAAATGAGTTCACTATAGGTGTGTGACTTTGTTTCTGGGTTCTCTATTCTGTTGCATTGGTCTATGTGTTTGTTTTTAATGCCAGTACCATGCTGTTTTGGTTACCATAGTTCTGTAGTATAATTTGAAGTCAGGCAATGTGATTCCTGCAGTTCTGTTCTTTTTGTTCAGGATAGCTTTGGCTAGTCTGGGTCTTTCGTGGTTCCATATAAATTTTAGAATTTTTTTTTCTATTTCTCTGAAGAATGCCATTAATATTTTCATTGGCATTGCTTTAAATTTGTAGATTGCTGTGGGTAGTATGGGCATTTGAACAATATTGATTCTTCCAAACCATGAACATGGAATATCTTTCCATTATTTTTTGTGTTCTCTTCCATCTCTTTCACCAATGTTTTATAGTTTTCATTGTAGAGAGCATTCAATTCTTTGATTAAGTTATTCCTTAGATATTTAATTTTATTTGTAGCTATTGTAAATGAGATTACTTTCTTGACTTCTTTTTCAGATTGCTTGCTGTTGGCATATGGAAATGCTACTGGTTTTTGTATGATGATTTTGTATTCTGCAACTTTACTGAATATGTTTATCAGTTCTAATAGTTTTTGGTGGAATCTTTAGGTTTTTCCAAATAGAAGATCATATCATCTGCAAACAAGGATAATTTGAATTCATCCTTTCCAATTTGGATGCCCTTTATTTATTCTTGTCTGATTGCTCTAGCTAGGGCTTCCAGTATTATGTTGAATAACAGTGGGCATCCTTGTCATGTTCCAGATTTTAGAGGAAAAGGTTTCAGTTTCTTCCCATTCAGTATAATACTAGCTCTTGGTCTATCATATATGGCTTTTACTGTATTGAGGTATGCTCCTTTTATATCCAGTTTTTGAGGGTTTTTAATTATGAAGGGACGTTGAATTTTATCAAATGTTTTCTCAGAATAAATTGGAATAGTTATATGTTTGTCCTTCATTCTGTTGATATGCTATATCACATTGATTTGCATATGTGGAAACATCCTTGGATCCCTGTGATAAATCCCACTTGGTCATGATAAATGATACTTTTAATCTGTTGTTGAATGCTGTTTGCTAGTATTTTGTTGAGAATTTTTGTATCAATGTTCATCAGAGATATTAGCCTGTAGTTTTCTTTTTCTTTCTTTTTTTTGTAATGTGTCTTTGTCTGGTTTGGTATCAGTGTAATAACAGCCTTGTAGAATGATTATGGAGGTATTCCTTCTGCCTCTACTTTTTTTTGGAATAGTTTGAGTAGAATTGGTATTAGTTCTTCTTTAAATGGTTGATAAAATTCCACAGTGAAGCCATTGGGTCCCAGGCTTTTTCTTTGCTGGGATACTTTTTACTACAGCTTCTGCCTCATTACTTGTTATTGGTCTCTTCAGGTTTTGGATTTCTTCATAGTTTAATCTTGGTAGGTTATATGTGTCTAGAAATTTATCCATTTCTTCTAGGTTTTCCAATTTATTGGCATATAGCTGCTCATAGCCTCTAAAGATCCTTCAAATTTCTGCAGTATCAGTTGTGATGTCTCCTTTTTCATCTCTGATTTTATTTATTTGGGTCTTTTCTCTTGTTTTCTTAGTCTGGATAACAGTTTGTCAATTTTATTTTTTCAAAAAAAGAACTTTCTGTTGCTTTTTTGTATTGTTTTTCTTGTTTCATTTATTTCTGCTCTGATCTTTATCATTTCTTTTCTTCTACTAAATTTGGGTTTGGTTTGCTCTTGCTTTTCTAGTTCCTTAAGATGTATAATTAGGTTGTTTATTTGAAGTTTTTCTTTTTTTTTGATGTAGACACTTACAGCTATAAACTTCCATCTTACTATTGATTTTGCTGTATCCCATAGGTTTTGGTATGTTGTGTTTCCATTATCGTTTGTCTCAAGACATTTTTCAATTTCCTTCTTGATCTCTTCATTGACCAACTGATCATTCAGGAGCATACTGTTTAATTTCCATTGTTTGCATACTTTCCAAAATTCCTCATTATTGATTTCCAGTTTTATGCCATTGTTGTCAAAGAAAATACTTGATATTATTTCAATTTTTTAAATGTTTTAAGACTTGTTTTGTGGCCTAACATATGGTCTAACCTTGAGAATGATCCATGTGCTGAGGAGAATAATTTGTATTCTGCAGCTATTGGATGAAATGTTCTATAAGTACCTATTAGGTTCACTTGGTCTACAGTACAGATTAAGTCCAGTGTCTCTTTGTTGACTTTCTGTCTGGATGATCTGTCCAATGTTGAAAGTGGAGTGTTGAAGTCTCCAACTATTATTGTATGAAAGTCTATCTCTCTCTTTAGCTCTAGTAACATTTGTTTTAAACATACGGGTGCTCCAGTGTTAATGCATATATTTTTACAACTGTTATATCCTCTTTCTGACTTGACCCCTTTATCATTATATAATGACCTTCTTTGTCCCTCAAAACACCTTCTTTGTTTTCTCAAAACAAAAACTATTTTGTCTGATATAAATATAGCTACTCCTGCTCTTTTTTGGTTTCCATTTGCATGGAATATCTTTTTCATCCCTTTATTTTTAGTCTATGTGTGACTTTATAGGTGAAGTGTGTCTCTTGTAGGTAACAGATTGTTGAGTCTTTTTTTTTAATCTATTCAGCCACGCTACATGTTCTTTATGTATTTATATATATTTATATATACTTTAAATTCTGGATTACATGTGCAGAATGTGAAGTTCTGTTACATAGGTATTCACATGCCATGGTGGTTTCCTGCACCCATCAACCTGTCATGTACATTAGGTATTTCTCCTAATGTTATCCCTCCCCTAGTCACCCACCCCCCACAGGCCCCTGTGTGTGATGTTCCTCTCCCTGTGTCCATGTGTTCTCATTGTTCTACCCCCACTTATGAGTGAGAACATGTGGTGTTTGGTTTTCTGATCTTGTGATAGTTTGCTGAGAATGATGGTTTCCAGCTTCATCCATGTCCCTACAAAGGACATGAACTCATCCTTTCTTATGGCTGCATAGTATTCCATGGTGTATATGTGCCACATTTTCTTAATCCAGTCTATCATTGATGGACACCTGGGTTGGTTCCAAGTCTTTGCTATTGTGAATAGTGCCGCAATAAACATACGTGTGCATGTGTCTTTACAGCAGCATGATTTATAATCCTTTGGGTATATGCCCAGTAATGGCATGGCTGGGTCAAATGGTATTTCTAGTTCTAGATCCTTGAGGAATCGCCACACTGTCTTCCACAATGGTTGAACTAATTTATACTCCCACCAACGTGAAAGCATTCCTATTTCTCTACAACCTCTCCAGCATCTGCTGTTTTCTGACTTTTTAATGATCACCATTCTAACTGGCATGAGATGGTATCTCACTGTGGCTTTGATTTGCATTTCTCTAATGACCAGCAATGATGAGCATATTTTCACAGGTCTCTTGGCTGCATAAATGTCTTCTTTTGAGAAGTGTCTGTTCACATCCTTTGCTCATTTTTTGATGGGGTTGTTTGCTTTTTTCTTGTAAATTTGTTTGAGTTCTTTGTAGATTCTGGATATTAGCCCTTTGTCAGATGAGTAGATTGCAAAAATTTTCTCCCATTCTGTAGGTTGCCTGTTCACTCTGATGATACTTTCTTTGCTGTGCAGAAGTTCTTTAGTTTAATTAGATCCCATTTGTCAATGTTGGCTTTTGTTGCCATTGCTTTTCGTGTTTTAGACATAAAGTCTTTGCCCACGCCTATGTCCTGAATGGTATTGCCCAGGTTTTCTTCCAGGATTTTTATGGTCCTAGGTCTTTCATTTAAGTCTTTGATCCATCTTGAGTTGATTTTTGTATAAGGTGTAAGGAAGGGGTCCAGTTTCAGTTTTCTGCATATGGCTAGCCAGTTTTCCCAACACTATTTATTAAATAGAGAATCTTTTCCCCATTGCTTATGTGTGTCAGGTTTGTCAAAGATCAGATGGTGGTAGATGTGTGGTGTTATTTCTGAGGCCTCCATTCTGTTCCATTGGTCTATATATCTGTTTTGGTACCAGTACCATGCTGTTTTGGTTACTGTAGCCTTGTAGTATAGTTTGAAGTCAGGTAGCATGATGCCTCCAGCTTTGTTCTTCTTGCCCAGGATTGTCTTGTCAATGCGGGCTCTTTTTTGGTTCCATATGAACTTTAAAGTAGTTTTTTCCAATTCTGTGAAAAGGTCAGTGGTAGCTTGATGGGGACAGCATTGAATCTATAAATTACTTTGGGCAGTAAGGCCATTTTCAGAATATTGATTCTTCCTATCCATGAGCATGTAAAAGAATAGAAATCACAACAAACTGTCTCTGAGACCACAGTGCAATCACATTAGAACTCAGGATTAAGAAACTCACTCAAACTTCAGTTGTGTGTAGGTCCACACAACTACATGGAACAACCTGCTCCTGAATGACTGCTGGGTAAATAACGAAATGAAGGCAGAAATAAAGATGTTCTTTGAAACCAGTGAGAACAAAGAAACAATGTACCAGAATCTCTGGGACACATTTAAAGCAGTGTATAGAGTGTTTGTTTTTTCCATTTGTTTGTGTCCTCTCTTATTTCCTTGAACAGTGGTTTGTAGTTCTCCTGGAAGAGGTCCTTCACATCCCTTGTAAGTTGGATTCCTAGGTATTTTATTCTCTTTGTAGTAATTGTGAATGGGAATTCACTCATGACTTGGCTCTCTGTTTGTCTGTTATTGGTGTATAGGAATGCTTGTGATTTTTGCACATTGATTTTGTATCCTGAGACTTTGCTGAAGTTGCTTATCAGCTTAAGGAGATTTGGGGCTGAGATGATGGGGTTTTCTAAATATACAATCATGTCATCTGCAAACAGAGACAATTTGACTTCCTCTCTTCCTATTTGAATACCCTTTATTTCTTTCTCTTGCCTGACTGCCGTGGCCAGAACTTCCAATACTGTGTTGAATAGGAGTGGTGAGAGAGGGCATCCTTGTCTTATGCCAGTTTTCAAAGGGAATGCTTCCAGTCTTTGCCCATTCAGTATGATATTGGCTGTGGGTTTGTCCTAAATAGCTCTAATTATTTTGAGATACGTTCCATCGATACCTAGTTTATTAAGAGTGTTTAGCATGAAAGGCTGTTGAATTTTGTCAAAGGCCTTTTCTGCATCTCTTGAGATAATCATGTGGTTTATGTCATTTGTTCTGTTTATGTGATAGATTACATTTATTGATATGCATATGTTGAACCAGCCTTGCATCCCAGGGATGAAGACAACTTGATCATGGTAGATAAGCTTTTTGATGTGCTGCTGGATTTGGTTTGCCAGTATTTTATTGAGGATTTTCGCACTGATGTTCATCAGGGATATTGGCCTAAAATTCTCTCTTTTTATTGTGTCTCTGCCAGGCTTTGGTATAAGAATGATGCTGGCCTCATAAAATGATTTAGGGAGGATTCCTTCTTTTTCTATTGATCGGAATAGTTTCAGAAGGAATGGTGTCAGCTCCTCTTTGTACCTCTGGTAGAATTCGGCTGTGAATCCGTCTGGTCCTGGACTTTCTTTGGTTGGTAGTCCATTAATTATTGCCTTAATTTCAGAATCTGTTATTGGTCTATTCAGAGATCAACTTCTTCCTGGTTTAGTCTTGGAAGGGTGTATGTGTCCAGGAATTTACCCATTTCTTCTAGATTTTCTAGTTTATATGCGTATAGGTGTTTATAGTATTCTCTGACAGTAGTTTGTATTTCTGTGGGATCAGTCGTCATATCCCCTTTATCATTTTTTATTGCGACTATTTGATTCTTCTCTCTTTTCTTCATTAGTCTTGCTAGCAGTCTATCTACTTTGTTGATCTTTTCAAAAAACCAGCTCCTGGATTCATTAATTTTTTGAAGGGTTTTTTGTATCTCTATCTCCTTCAGTTCTTCTCTGATCTTAGTTATTTCTTGTCTTCTGCTAGATTTTGAATTTGTTTGCTCCTGCTTCTCTAGTTCTTTTAATTGTGATGTTAGGGTGTCAATTTTAGATCTTTCCTGCTTTCTCTTGTGGGCATTTAGTGATATAAATTTCCCTCTATCCACTGCTTTAAATGTGTCCAAAAGACTCTGGTACATTGCGTCTTTGTTCTCATTGGTTTCAAAGAACATCTTTATTTCTGCCTTCATTTCGTTATGGACCCAGTAGTCATTCAGGAGCAGGTTGTTCAGTTTCCATGTAGTTGAGCAGTTTTGAGTGAGTTTCTTAATCCTGAGTTCTAATTTGATTGCCCTGTGGTCTGAGAGACAGTTTGTTGTGATTTCTGTTCTTTTACATTTGCTGAGGGTGTTTTACTTCCAATTATGTGGTCAATTTTAGAATAAGTGCGATGTGGTGCCAAGAAGAATGTATATTCTGTTGATTTGGGGCGGAGAGTTCTGTAGATATCTATTAGGTCTGCTTGGTGCAGAGCTGTGTTCAAGTCCTGGATATCCTTGTTAATTTTTTGCCTCGTTGATCTAATATTGACATTGGGGTGTTAAAGTCTCCCACTATTATTGTGTGGGAGTCTAAGTCTCTTTGTAGGTCTCTAAGAACTTGGTTTATGAATCTGGGTGCTCCTGTATTGGGTGCATATATATTTAGGATAGTTAGCTCTTCTTGTTGAATTGATCCCTTTACCATTATGTAATGGCCTTCTTTGTCTCTTCTGATCTTTGTTTGTTTAAAGTCCAGGATTGCAACCCCTGGTTTTTGTTTTTTTGTTTGTTTGTTTGTTTTGGTTTTTTTTTTTTTTTTGCTTTCCATTTGCTTGGTATATCCTCCTCCATCCCTTTATTTTGAGCCTATGTGTGTCTCTGCACGTGAGGTGGGTCTCTTGAATACAACACACTGATGGGTCTTGACTCTTTATCCAGTTTGCCAGTCTGTGTCTTTTAGTTTGGGCATTTAGCCCATTTACATTTAAGGTTAATGCAGTTATGTGTGAATTTGATTCTGTCATTATAATGCTAGCTGGTTATTTTGCCCATTAATTGATGTAGTTTCTTCATAGCATTGATGGTCTTTACAATTTGGCATGTTTTTGCAGGGACTAGTACCGTTTGTTCCTTTCTATGTTTAGTGCTTCCTTCAGGAGCTCTTGTAAGGCAGGCCTGGTGGTGACAAAATCTCTCAGCATTTGCTTGTTTGTAAAGGATTTTATTTCTCCTTCACTTATGAAGCTCAGTTTGGCTGGATATGAAATTCTGGGTTGAAAATTCTTTTCTTTAAGAATGTTGAATATTTGCCCCCACTCTCTTCTGGCTTGTAGAGTTTCTGCTGAGAGATCTGCTGTTAGTCTGATGGGCTTCCCTTTGTGGGTAACCCAACCTTTCTTTCTGGCTGCCCTTAACATTTTTTCCTTCATTTCAACCTTGGTGAATTTGACAGTTATGTGTCTTGGGGATGCTCTTCTCAAGGAGTATCTTTGTGGTGTTCTCTGTATTTTTTGAATTTGAATGTTGGCCTGCCTTGCTAGGTTGGGGAAGTTCTCCAGGATAATATCCTGAAGAGTGTTTTCTAACTTGTTTCCATTCTTCCTGTCACTTTCAGGTACACCAATCAAACGTAGATTTGGTCTTTTCACATAGTCTCATATTTCTTGGAGGCTTTGTTCGTTTCTTTTCATTCTTTTTTCTCTAATCTTGTTTTCTCACTTTATTTCATTAATTTGATCTTCAATCACTGATATCCTTTCTTCAGCTTGATCGTATTGGCTACTCAAGCTTGTGTATGCTTCACGAAGTTCTCGTACTGTAGTTTTCAGCTCCATCAGGTCACTTAAGCTCTTCTCTACACTGGTTATTCTAGTTAGCCATTTGTCTAACTTTTCAAGGTTTTTTGCTTCCTTGCAATGGGTCAGAACATGCTCCTTTAGCTCGGAGAAGTTTGTTATTACTGGCCTTCTGAAGCCTACTTCTGTCGACTTGTCAAACTCATTCTCTGTCCAGTTTTTTTCCCTTGCTGGCGAGGAGTTGTGTTCCTTTGGAGGAGAAGAGGCATTCTGGTTTTTGGAATTCTCAGCCTTTCTGCTCTGGTTTCTCCCCATCTTTGTGGTTTTATCTACCTTTGGTCTTTGATGTTGGTGACCTACGGATGGTGTTTTGGTGTGAACGTCCTTTTTGTTGATGTTGATGCTATTCCTTTCTGTTTGTTAGTTTTCCTTCTAACAGACTGTCTCCTCAGCTGCAGGTCTGTTGGAGTTTGCTGGAGGTCCACTCCAGACCCTGTTTGCCTGGGTATCACCAGTGGAGGCTGCAGAACAGCAAATATTGCTCTCTGATCCTTCCTCTGGAAGCTTCGTCCCAGAGGGAGGGGCACCTGCCTATATGAGGTGTCTGTTGGTCCCTACTGGGAGATCTCCCAGTCAGGCTAAAGGGGGTCAGGGACCCATTTGAGGCAGTCTGTCTGTCATCAGAGCTTGAACACCATGCTGGCGGAACCAATGATGTCTTCAGAGCTGTCAGGCAGGGATGTTTAAGTCTGGAGAAGCTATCTGCTGCCTTTTGTTCAGATATGCCCTGCCACCAGAGGTGGAATCTAGAGAGGCAGTAGGCCTTGCTGAGCTGCAGTTGGCTCTACCCAGTTCAAGCTTCCTTGCTGCTTTGTTTAAACGGTGAGCACAGAACCACCTACTCAAGCCTCAGCAATGGCAGATGCCCCTCCCCCTGCCAAATTTCAGCATCCCAGGTCAATCTCAGACTGCTGCACTAGCAAGCAAGCAAGGCTCCATGGGCGTTGGACCTGCCGAGACAGGCACAGGAGGGAATCTCCTGGTCAGCCAGTTGCGAAGACCATGGTAAAGTGCAGTATTTGCACAGGAGTGTACTGTTCCTCCAGGTACAGTCACATCTTCCCTTGGCTAGGAAAGGAAAATCCCCTGACCTCTTGCGCTTCCTGGGTGAGGCGACACCCCGCTCTGCTTCAGCTCGCCCTCCACGGGCTGCACCCACTGTCCAACCAGTCCCAACGAGATAAACCAGGTATCTCAGTTGGAAATGCAGAAATCACCCATCTTCTGCATCAGTCTCCCTGGGAGCTGTAGACCGAAGCTGTTCCTATTCAGCCATCTTGGAAGCGACCCATCCTACATGTTCTTATTGGAGAATTTAGTCCATTTACATTCAATGTTATTATTGATAAGTGAGGACTATCTCTCATCATTTTGTTATTTTTTTTTTCTGGTTGTTTTGTGGTTTTCCTTTTTTCTTCCTTCCTGTCTTTCTTTCAATGAAGGTGATTTTTCTCTGGTGGTATTTTTTAATTCCTTGCTTTTTATTTTTGTGCATCTCTTGTATGGTTTTCAATTTGAGGTTACCATTAGGCTTGCAAATACTATCTTTAACCCATTATTTTAAAGTGATAACAAATTAATACTGATTGCATAAACAAACAAGCTAATTACCAAACAAGCAAAAGAAAACTTATAAAAACTCAATAATTTAACTTTGTCTCCTCACTTTTTACATTTTTGTTGTTTCCATTCATATCTTATTATACTGTCTATGTCTTGAAAAGCTGTTGTAGTTATTATTTTTAATTGGTTCATCTTTTCATCTTTCTACTTAAGATATAAGTAGTTTACACATCACACTTACAGTGTTATAATATTCTGTGTTTTTCTGTGTACCTACTATTACCAGTGAGTTTTACCTTCAGATGATTTCTTATCACTGATTAACATCCTTTTCTTTTGGACTGAAGACTTCTCTTTAGCATTTCTTGTAGGACAGGTCTGGTGTTAATGAAATCCCTCAGCTTTTATTTATCTGGGTAAGTCTTTATTTCTCCTTCATGTTTGAAGGATATTTTCACTGTACATACTATTCTAGGGTAAAACCTTTTTTCCTTCAGCACCATAAATATGTCCTGGCCTGTAAGGTTTCCACTGAAAAGTCTGCTGCCAGATGTATTGGAGCTCCATGTATGTTATTTGTTTCTTTTATCTTGATGCTTTTAGGAATCTTTCTTTATCCTTGACCTTTGGGAGTGTGATTATTAAATGCCTCAAGGTAGTCTTCTTTGGGTTACATCTGCATGGTTTTCTATAACCTTCTTGTATTTGAATATTGATATTTTTCTAAAGATTTGGGAAGTTCTCTGTTATTATCCCATTGAATAAACTTTCTACTCCTCTCTCTCTCTACGTCCTCTTTAAGGCCAAAAACACTTAGATTTGCCCTTTTGAGGCTATTTTCTCGATTTTGTATGTGTGTTTCTTTTTTCTCTGACTGTATATTTTCAAACAGCCTGTCTTCAAGCTCACTAATTCTTTCTTCTGCTTGATCAATTCTGCTATTATGAGACTCTGATGCATTCTTCAGTATGTCAATTGCATTTTTCAATTCCAGAATTTCTGCTTGACTCTTTTTTAATTATTTCAATCTCTTTATTAAATTTATTTGGCAGAATTCTAAATTCTTCTGTGTTATCCTGAATTTCTTTGAGCTTCCTCAAAACAGCTATTTTGACTTCTCTGAAAGTTCACATGTCTCTCTTTCTCTGGGACTGGTCCCTGTTGCCTTATTAGTTTGTTTGGTGAGGTATGTTTTTCTGGATGGTCTTGATGCTTGTGAGTGTTCGTCAGTGTCTGGGCATTGAAGAGTGGGGTATTTTTTGTAGTCTTCACAGTCTGGCCTTTTTGTACCCATCCTTCTTGGGAAGGCTTTCCAGGTATTTGAAGGGACCTGAGTGTTGTGATCTAAGTTTTTTGTCACTGCAGCCGCATCTGCACTAGGGGGCACCACAAGCCCAATAACGATGTAGTTCTTGTAGACTCAGAAGTATTGCCTTGGTGGTCTTGGATAAGATCCAGAAGAATTATCTGAATTACCAAGCAGGGACTCATTCTCTCCTCTTACTTTTTTTTTTTTCTTTTTTTTTTTGAGACGGAGTCTTGCTCTGTCGCCCAGGCTGGAGTGCAATGGCACAATCTTGGCTCACCACAACCTCCACCTCCCGGGTTCAAGCCATTCTCCTGCCTCAGCCTCCCAAGTAGCTGGGATTACAGGCACCGACCACTACGCCCGGCTAATTTTTTGTATTTTTAGTAGAGACGGGGTTTCACTGTGTTGGCCAGCCTGGTCTCAAACTCCTGACCTCGTGATCCGCCTGCCTCAGCCTCCCAAAATGCTGGGATTACAGGCGTGAGCCAACGCTCCTGGCCTCTACTCTCACTTTCTACCAAATAAATGGATTATCTCTCTGTGCTGAGCTTCCTGGAGTTGGGGGACAGGTGACACAAGCACCCCTGTGACGACCACCACTGGGACTGCACTGGGTCAGACCTGAACCCAGTACAGCACTGGGTCTTACCCAAGGCCTGCTATAGCCACTACCTGACTACCACCAGTGTGCACTCAAGGCCTTAGCGATCTACAATCACCAGGTGGCAAAGCCAGGCAGTCTTGTATCCTTCTTTTCAGGGAAGTGACTGTCCCTGAGCTCTAGGCAGGTCCATGCCATCCAGGAGCCAGGGCCCAGAGTCAAAAACCTAAGAAATCCACCTGGTGCTCTATTCCACTGTGGCTAAGCTGGCACCAAAACCACAAGACAAGGTTCTTCCCGTTCTTCCCTCAACTTTCCCAAAGCAGAGGAATCTCTCCCCATGGCCACCACCACCACAGCCAACAGGGAGTATTGACAGGGTACCACTGATGTTCACTTAAGGCCCAAGTCCAGGCCAGGACACACCCTTCAGGACAGTGGGCTCCCCTCTGGCCCAGGGTAGGTCCAGAGATGCTGTCCATGAGCCAATGCCTGGAATTGGGAACCCCTAGAGCCCACTTGGTGCTCTTCCCCACTGTAGCCAAGCTGGTACCTAAGCTGCAAGAAAAGTTCCCTTTATTCTTCCCCCTCCTTTTCTCAAGTGGAAGGGGTCTCTCCTCATAGCCACCATAGCTGTGAATATGCTGGATCACACCTGAAGCCAGCATGTCTGAGTCTCACCCAAGGCCCACAGCATGTACTACCTGGTTATTGCTGCCGATTATTCAAGGCCCAAGCGCTCTTAAGTTAGCAGGTAGTGAATCCTGCCAGAACTGAATCCTTCCCTTCAAGGCAGCAGGTTTCCTGTCTAATCCAGGATGTGTCTAGAAATGTTGTCTGGGAGTTAGGGCCTGGAATGGGAGCCTGATAACTCTGCCCAGTGCCCTATCCTACTGTGGCAAAGCTGGTATCCAAGTTGCAAAACAAAATCCTCTTACCTCTTCCCTCTCCTCTCTTCAAGCAGGAAGGAGTCTCTTTGGGAGCTGTACACTGCACTGCCTGGGGTTGAAGAGGGGTGGCATAAGCACTCCCTTTGCCACCCCGACTGGTGTGTCACTGGGTCGCATGCTCTCTCCAATGGCTCCGAGACCAGTCCAAGTCCACTGGCTCTGAGACCAGTACAGCACTAGGACTTGCCTAGGAAGTGTAGTCCTTGTGGCCTAGATTGGTGTTATTTGGAAACCCCCCAGCGGCAAGGCTTGCTGAAACTCAAGTTCAAACCACTGGGATGGGTCATTCGCCTCTGGCTAGGGCTAGCCTGAATGCACCCGCCATAGACACCGGCTGGGTTCCGCCTGGTGTTGGCAGCACTGAGTTCCCACAATTGCTGCACTCTCCTTGAACCGCACAGATTGTTTTTCCACATCATGTGGCCACTGCAGGGGCTGGGGGAGGGGTGGAGTTGGAGATTCAAGACTGTCTTTCCAACTCCCTTCAGTGCCTCTTTCAGCAATATGAAGTTAAAACCAGGTACTGTGATCACTTCATTTTTGGTCTGTATGAAGGTGCTTTTTTGTGTAGTTGTCAAATTTGGTGTTCCTGCAGGAAGGACAATTGGTAGAATCTTCTATTTGGCCATCTTGCCCCCACCCTCAAAACTTAGTAATTTAAAACAATATTTTATTAGGTCTCACAATTCTGTACAATGATCCGGCTTAGCAAGACAGGTCTGCTTCACATGCTATGGATAAGGTCATTCATGCAGAAGCATTTATATGGTAGCTTGGCTAGGGCTGAAATGACAGTGACTTCCGCTCACACTCCAGTGTCTTTCCCCATGTAGCTTCTCATAATTAAATAATCTATTTTGAACTTTATGACATAGCTCTGGCTTCCAAGAGGATCTGTTCTAAGAGAAAAAGCCCCAGTGTGAGAGTACTTACCAAGCCTCTGCTTAGTAACATGCTTGCTAATATTTCGTTGGCCAAGAAAGTCACATGACCTGGGCTAAGTTAATGTGGGAGTGCTCTACTCAAGGACATGAAATATGGTTCATTGGGAGCCACAAATATAACAGCATCATTTATTTACTGCCTGTTCACAGATATTTAGACTGTTTATAATTTTTCCCATTACAACAGTATAGTAAATATCACTGTAGCAAAATATTTGCCCAAGTAAGCTCAAACAAAAAATTATCCTAGATAAAAATATAAACTGTTCAGACTTAATGATCGTGAAATTTTAAATTCCAGTTTAAACAGATAAAACTGAATTTCTATCCATTATCTATATTAATTTACATCAAAAAGGAAAAAATACAGTCGTACTCATTCCTGAAAACTCCAGCCAATGCTGGAAATCATCAATCTAAGTATGTTTCCAATCTGGGAATCAAAAACTGATTATCTCATTTTTGTTTTAATCTGCATTTATTTTATTAGTAGTAAAGTTAAGCATATTTTTGTACATTTTATGATTACTTGTATTTCTTCATCCTGTTCATTTTTCTGTTGGGTTGTTTTGATTTGGAATATTTTGTAAATAAGATATTGATTTTTTTATTGTTTTGCATGTTGCAAATATTTTCTCTGCATCACTTTTTTTTTAAGAGACAAAGTCTTGCTTGTCATCCATGCTGGACTGCAGTGGTACAATCACAGCTCACTGTAACCCCGAACTGCTGGGATTAAGTGATCCTCCTGCCTCAGCCTCCTGCCCAGGTAGCTAGGACTATGGGCACATGCCATCATGTCCAACTAATTAAAAATTTTTCTTGTAGATAAAGGGTCTCATTATATTGCCCAGGCTGGCCTCCAACTCCTGGCCTCAAGTGATTGATCCTCCCACCTCAGCCTCCCAAAGCACTGGAATTACAGGTATGAGCCACTGTGCCTGGCCAGTCACTTTTTTTTAACTTTATGATGGCTATTATCCCGTAAGAGCTAAGAATCTAGTCATCATATCCAGCCATCTTTTCCTTTATGAAGGATAATCTCTATGCCCAAGAATATAAGAATTGTTTCTTATGTTTTCTAGTATTTGTAGAGTGTTTTTCTTTGCATTTAGTTTTTCTTTTCTGCTTTTTTTTTTTTTTTTCTTTTTGAGACAAGCTCTTGCCGTGTCACCCAGGCTGCAGTGCAGTGACACAAACACAGCTCACTGCAGCCTTGACCTTCTGGCAAGTGATCCTCCTACCTCAGCCTTCCAAGTAGCTGGGACTACAGGCATGCATCACCACACCCAGCTAAAATTTTGTTTTCTTTTTTTTTGAGACAGAGTCTCACTCTTTAGCCCAGGCTGGAGTGCAGTGACATGATCTTGGCTTACTGCAACCTCCACCTCCTGGGTTCAAGTGATTCTTCTGCCTCAGCCTCCCGAGTAGCTGGGATTACAAGCACCCATCACCATGCCCAGCTAATTTTTTGTATTTTTAATAGAGATGGGGCTTCACCATGTTGGCCAGGCTGGTCTCGAACTCCTGACCTCAAGTGATTAGCCCACCTCAGCCTCCCAAAGTGCTAGGATTACAGGTGTGAGCCACCATGCCTGGGTCCCAAATAAAATTTCTTAAGATTTTTTGTTGAGATGGGGTCACATCATGTTGCCCAGGTTGTTTTCAAACTTCTGGCTTCAAGTGATCCTCCCACCTCGGCCTACCAAAGTGCTAGGATTACAGGTGTGAGGCACCACACCCAGCCCTGGGTTTTATTTTTGTGTATAAGGTATGTATGAATGCTCCTAATACCACTTACTGACTATTGTTCTTTTCACCCATTGAATTGACTTGTCTTTTTAATGATTTATTTATTCCTGCAACTATGTCACATTTTAAATTATTACAGCATTTCAACATGGTTTAATATCTGCTAGAGCAAGTAGAACTTCATTCTTCTCTTTTGAAAATGTTATTGGCTATTCTCATGCATTTTTCTTAAATATATAACTTTAGAATCATCCTACCAAGCTCTAAAAACCACTGCATTAGGTTTTGATTAGCACTGTATTAAATTTGGGGATCCTTTGAAGGAAACTCTAGAAATGAAAAAGGTAATCATTGAAATTAAAAACTCTAAGCAAGGTTAGATAGCAGGTAAAAACATCTGAAGAGACAATTAGAAAACAACAAAATGAATTACACAGAACTCAGTACAGAGAGGCAAATAGGAAGAAATATAAGAGAGTTAAGAGTCAGAAAGGATAGAATGACATGGGCCAATATGCTGTCTATTTGGGGTTCAAGAAAAAGATAATAGAGAAAATAAGGGGCAATACTCAAAAAAACCACAGCTGAAGTTTTTCATAACATTCAGGCATCAAAATGAATCTCTAAAAATATAGATAAATCCACACATAGACACATTAAAAATAAAGATCATCAATGACAAACAGATCTTAAGAGCAAATAGAAATGATGGATTACCTAGAGGAAAAATTCAATTGACAGAAAACTTCTAAATAGCAGCAAAAGAACTCAACAAAATCTCTTTAAAATACTGACAGAACACAAATGTAATCTACAATTTCATGGCAAAATAAAGACATTTTTCTGGAAAAAGAAAAAGGAAAGGCTAAAAGAGTTTACCATTAACAGACTTTTTAGCATTGAATTCCAGGAATGTCAATTAGCTGGACCAGTTTCCAGAGTACACAGAAGATGGCTTCAACTTTTTTTTTTTTTTTTTTTTTTTTTCTGAGACAGAATCTTGCTCTGTCACCCAGGCTGGAGTACAATGGCACGATCTTGGCTCACTGCAACCTCTGTCTCCCGGATTCAAGCGATTCTCCTGCCTCAACCTCCCACGTAGCTGGGATTACAGGCATCCATCACCATGCCCAGCTAATTTTTGTATTTTTAGTAGAGACAGGGTTTCACCATGTTGGCCAGGCTGGCCTCGATCTCCTGACCTCGTGATCCACCCACCTCAGCCTCCCAAAGTGCTGGGATTACAGGTGTGAGCCACCGCACCCAGTCAGCTTCGACATTTTTTATCAGGATAAAAGCTTAGGAAAATAATTAAGACCTTAAATTATCCTTTCAGAGGCCAGGCATGGTGGCTCACCCGTGTAATCCCAGCACTTTGGGAGGCTGAGGTGGGTGGATCACGAGGTCAGGAGATCGAGGCCAGCCTGGCCAACATGGTGAAACCCTGTCTCTACCAAAAATACAAAAATTAGCAGGGCGTGGTGGTGCATGCCTGTAATCCCAGCTACTCAGGAGGCTGAGGCAGGAGAATCGCTTGAACCCAGGAGGCGGAGGTTGCAGTGAGCTGAGATCGTGCCACTGCACTCCAGCCTGGGTGACAAAGCAAGACTCCATCTCAAAATATATATATATATATATATATATATGTACATATATATCCATATATATGTGTGTATATATATATCCATATATATGTGTGTGTATATATATATCTCCATATATATGTGTATATATATATCTCCATATATATGTGTATATATATATCTCCATATATATGTGTATATATATATCTCCATATATATGTGTATATATATATCTCCATATATATGTGTATATATATATATCTCCATATATATGTGTATATATATATATCTCCATATATGTGTATATATATATCTCCATATATATGTGTGTGTATATATCTCCATATATATGTGTGTGTATATATCTCCATATATATATCTGTGTATATATCTCCATATATATCTATATATATCTCCATATATATATCTATATATATATCTCCATATATATATCTATATATATATCTCCATATATATATCTATATATATATCTCCATATATATATCTATATATATATCTCCATATATATATCTATATATATATCTCCATATATATATCTATATATATATCTCCATATATATATCTATATATATATCTCCATATATATATCTATATATATATCTCCATATATATATCTATATATATATCTCCATATATATATCTATATATATATCTCCATATATATATCTATATATATATCTCCATATATATATCTATATATATATCTCCATATATATATCTATATATATATCTCCATATATATATCTATATATATATCTCCATATATATATCTATATATATATCTCCATATATATATCTATATATATATCTCCATATATATATCTATATATATATCTCCATATATATATCTATATATATATCTCCATATATATATCTATATATATATCTCCATATATATATCTATATATATATCTCCATATATATCTATATATATCTCTCTATATATCTCCATATATATCTATATCTATATATATCCTTTTAAAGGTTATTTACAACATCAAGTCCAAGATAATTTATTACAATTGTATATTTTCTGTCTACCATTTGGGAAGATGTAAAGCCTATTTCTATTTATTTAGTCATTACCCTTAAAATTTTAATATTCCTACTTAACTGAAGAATATCTGTAGTTGGTCAGTATCTTTATATCTTCCGAACGATACAAGGACCTAAGAATCAGTCCCATCCAGGCTTAACAGTAACTGTGGTTCAGTGTTTTAATTCCACTTTTTTATCTTCAAAAACTAAATATAATTATTCATTTTTAATTGTATCAATCTTTTTGCACTCTGTTTTAAATGCTAAATAAAAAGATCTCTTCAGAAACTATTAATGAGAAGTATTAAAAATTTGCAATAAAGATTTGGGAGGGCATGAGACAAAATCAGTATCTCATAAGTAGTTCCTGAATAAGATCTGTTCTTGCTTATCACACATGCCTGCAAAATGTCTGGTACAAGAATATGCACAGCAATATGAATAGCAACTGTATTCATAAAAAACAACAACTGAAAATCCCTTAGGTATCCATAACTATGTTAATGAAAACAACAAACTATGGTACATTTATATTATAGATACTATTCAATGATAAAAACGAACTGACTACAAACACACACAACAAGAATAAATCTCAAAAATACTACACTGAGTTAAAAAAAACTTGCACAAAAAAAATACTGAATGATTCCCTTTATATAAAAATCTAGAACAGAGATAAGCTTATCTTTAGTGAAAAAAATTAGAACAGGGGCTGCCTCTGGATGAAAAGGGGTGAAGAATTTTATTCTACATAAATTTTATATTGAAAGAAAAAATAAACAAATATTATTAAAATCCAGTTAATAATATACATACTGAAGCATATAATTTCCAACTTATTTGGAAATGAATCCCAAAAATAAGACCAATGACAGATAGATATACTATGAGATCAAGCATAGAATCTGATTAGTAGGTACATTAGGTTACTATTACTACTGTAACAAATAACAACAAACTTAGTGGCTTAAAACAACTCAAATTTATTCTGTTGCAGTTCTGGAGGTCAGAAGTCCAAGGTATCTGCAGGGCGGCATACCTTCTACAGTCTCTGGGGGAGAATCCATTTCCTTGCTTCTTCCAGCTTCCACTTACATATGCTCCTTTGTTCATAGCATCTTCCTCCATCTTCAAAGCTAGCAGCATAACATCTTCCAGTCGCTTTCTCTTCGACTATAACCTTTAGTTCCACTATCACATCTCTTTCTCAGACTCTGATTCTCCTGTCTCCCTCTTATATGAATGCTTATGAGTACTCTGGGCCCATTCGAATAATCCAGCATAATCCCTCCATCTCAAAATGCTTAATTTAATCACACCTACAAAATTCCTTTTGCCATATAAGGTAACATATTCACAGGTTCTTGAAATTAGGACATGGACATGCTTGGGTGCCATATTCTGTCTACCACAATGGGTATATGGGTGTTCACTGTAAAGTTCTTTCAAGTATTACGTATGTTTGAAATTTTCCTACTAAAATGTTGAGGGGGAAATCTAGGAATACAGGTCAAGTACCGCCATCAGGGTAAATGGGAAAAACAGTAACAGTCTTTTTCTAATGAAAGTAAGGGATTTTTTCCCCTTTTTAAGAAGAAAGCTCTCTTTTCAATGAGGAATTTGATTGCTAGTATTATATACTTTTACATTTGATTATTAAAAACATTTTCCTCTTCATCCAGGGATGGCATCTAGATGCACTCAAAATGGTCCAGCATTTGACGTATCATCATGGGCTTTCCTACAATACAGCCTCTAACAAAACTAGGCTGTCCCAAACCCCTGGTAATAGAATTGTTTACCTTTATACCAAGAAGGTTAGGAAAGCACCAAAATCTCCACGTGGCATGCCTCCAAGTAGATTTCAAGGAGTTTGTGCTGTGAGACCTAAAGTTCTTATGAGGTTATCTTGAAAAAATGTGTCAGCAGAGCCTATGGTGGTTCCATGTATGCTAATTGTGTCCATGACAGGATCAAACATGCTTTCTTCATCAAGGAGCAGAAAATCCTTGTGAAAGTGTTGAAGGCACAAGCACAGAGTTTGAAAGCTAAATTTTAAAATGAAGCTTTCTTGGGTAATAAAAGAAAAAAAAAACGCTATTCCTTTTCTAATCTGAAATTTTTCAGAAAATTTTTAAAGGAAGCATATTTTTTAAGTTGGAAATATAAACAGACCAAAGTATAAAATTTAAAACATAATAAAACAGAATACTAAGTTTTAAATAGTGACCAAAAGTTGTTTCACTTAGGAAAGATAACATTTTAAGCTAATTTTACAAAAACACTTCTTTATAATACTTACCCAAAATACCATTTTTAGCAGAATTTCATCTTAAAACAGACTTTTATTACAATAATAAGTAGCTTTAAATAGGATGAACACTGTGGTATTTAAATTTTGTTATTGTAACAATAAATTTCAATATTTTAAAATCCTAGAACAATATTTGTATTATTATATAATAAAAATGTTGTTTCAGATCTTTTTCTCTCATTTATAGCTTATTTTCAGAAAGTCAGTAAATTCTATTGATTCTTCTTTCTGCCTCTTCTGTTCTATCTTCATGGTCATATATATGTCCTAGTGAACTCATTTCTATATCCTTATTGCAATAGTTTTATGGTTTTTTTTCTCTCGAGAATCTTCCAAGCTCCAATCTATCCTATATAGAGTTAAAATTTAGACCCATACAAGTCTCAGAAATAAAATGCTTTTTAATGGGATTTGCACAATATAGATAGCCTGCTGAAACCAACATTTTTTCCTTTTTTTTTTTTTTTTTTCTTGAGATAGAGTCTTGCTCCGTCACCCAGGCTGTAGTGCAGTGGCGTGATCTTGGCTCACTGCAACCTCCACCTCCTGGGTTCAAGCAATTCTTATGCCTCAGCCTCCTGAGCAGCTGGGACTACAAGCATGCGCCACCATATCCAGCCAATTTTTTGTATTTTTAGTAGAGACAGGGTTTCACCATGTTGGCCAGGCTGGTCTCGAACTCCTGGCCTCAAGTGATCCACCTGCCTCATCTTTTACAATTTTATACTAGACATATCCTTTAAGAAAAAATCACAGTTATCACTTTTTAAAATAAAGATATTTGATTCTTTCAACCCAGAATATTTACTACATACATTTATTTTGTCACTTAATCATATACTGCCTTGTTTCATTATTTAATCATTTCATAGGCATCTATATAATAACCTTAACAAAAATGTAATCTCCCCAAGAGCGATTATTTTTCATCAGCCATGTGTCTAAAGAGGGTGCTATCTGTGCACTCCCAGGGACTCAATAAATACTAGCTGACTTATCAAGTACTTAATCTGAAAACTCTTCTTTTATTTTGTGCTTTAGTTTCCAAATTCTTATTTCCCATTCCCTGATCATTTACTTAATCTGTCCTATTCTCTTTTACTTCATTAATTGGACTATATATTTTATTTCTAAACAAGAGGGATTTTTTAGGCTTTTTATTCTTTAAAAAACAATAAACTGAACAAAATCAAGTTTTCTTATTTAACAAAAGCATTTTAAAAAGGAGCTTACCCTTCTCATACGCAATTCTTCTAATGCCTCCAGTAAACTTGTTTTGAAATCTAATAGCTGAATAGAAAACAATGTCTCTGAAGAACTTTGAAGAGTAAAAGTAGATGATGACTCAGTATTGAAGTTGCTTTCCATATTAATATTTATTTCCTGTAATGTAAAAAGGTCTTAACTGAAAAAAAATTATCTAGGTTTTTCAAGTAAAAGCATAGTTACCATAAAAATATAACAACCTGTATCCCATAATCCTCCAATTTCAGCACTGAATAACAGTTGTGTCATCACTCCACTCTAATGTTGACCAAAAAAACACTTAGCAAAAATGGTATTATTCTGTTTCCCTATGGTTGAAGCTTTTTCTGGTAGCTGAGTACCCTCAAAGGCTAAATTTTCTTCCCCTAAAGACCCATCTTCTAAAGGCTGGGTTCATGATGTTGCAGGCAAGTTGCTTCATGCCAAAGCTGGGATACACATTCTGCTTCCTAAACTTTGCCTTGACATAAAGCTTCTTTGCAAAGATGATATGAATAGTAACATGCAATCTTTAAACTCAACATAGTTGGAAGACGAAGGCTGGAAAAATTGCCTTTTATTAAAAACCAAGATAGTTAAATATTTTTCTCAACCCAGAAAATGTATGAGTCAGGCTGCAAGAAACTTTTCAACTTTTCAGTATGAAACAATGATCAATTCACAGGTAGTTGCAAAAGAATGTACGGTGAAGTCCTATACACCATTCTCTCAATAACCCCCGCAAATGTTAACATCTTGTATAACAAGAGTACAATATTAAAAATGTGCATCTGACTTTGGTACAATCCACGGAGCTTATTAGCACTTTACCAGTTATACATGTACTTATTTGTGTGCATGTGTCTGTGTGTATATATGCTTTTGGCAAGTTTATCATATTTATAGCTTCATATAACTATGACCTCAATTTAAGATACAGAACTCTAGCATCAATACAAGCTTCTTCAAGCAGCTTCTCTGTGGTCATACCCACTCTCTTCCCCCATCCTTAACTCTGAGAAAATACTAATCTGTTATCTATCTCCGTAATTTTGTTGTTTCAAGAGTGCTCATAAATGGAATCACACATCATGTAACCTATAGCTTTTTTTTTAAGGTTCATCCAGATTGTTACATGTATCAGTAATTCATTCCTTTTTATTGTTTAGTAGTATTTCATGGTATGAATGTATTATTTACTGAACTACTCACCCACTGAATAACATTTTAGTAGTTTCCAGTTTGTGACTATTATGAATAAAGGTGCTATAAACATTTATGTACACATTTCTCTGTGACCATAATTTTTCATTCCTTAGAGATAAACGCCCAAGAGTAAAATTGTTGGGTTGAGTGAATATTGAGTCCATTTTTAGTTGTAAAGGAAACTGCCACATTATTTTCCAGAGTGGCTGTACCATTTTCCATTCCCACTGGCAATGTACAAGTAATACAGTTTCTCCAAATTTCCACCAGCATTTGCTGTTATCACTATTGTTTTTATTTTAGCCATTCTGATAAGTATTATACTAATAAGCATTCTCCAGAGAAACAGAATAGGATGGGTATGTGTGTGTATATATGGGGGGGTGTATGTATATATGTGCAAAAGACTCATATGCACATATATATAGACACAGACCTACACACACACACGCAGAGAGAGAGAGATTTTAGGGAACTGGCTTACACAATTGTGGCGGCTGACAACTCTGAAATCTTTAGGGCTGACCAGCAGGCTAGAGACTCAGGAAAGAGTGGATGTTGTAGCTCAAGTCCAAAAGCAGTCTGGAAGCAAAATTCCCACTTCCTTGGACAACCCTAACCTTTTTCTCTTAAGGCCTTCAACTGATTGGATGAGGCCCACCCACATTATGGAGAGTAATTTGCTTTACTCAAAGTCTGCTGATTTAAATGTTAATCACAGCCATAAAATACCTTCACAACATTATGTAGACTGCTGTTTGACCCAATATCTGGGTACTACAACCTAGCCAAGTTGACACATAAAATTAACAGCAGTGTGCCTGAAAGAAACTTTCTAAAAGGAAAATTTCCATTACTGAAAATGATGAGATATGTTATTTGGACCAATCCTCCTACTAAAAATAACTAAAAATTCTAAATAAAACATTTTAAAATCTTCTCAAAAGCATCAAAGACTGAAAAGATAATAAAAAATTATGGAATCAAATTCTAAATTCTGAAAGAGACCAAGAACCAAGAAGCAGACCAAGCACTAACAGCTATCTTTACCCTGTGGGCATTTGGCAAATGAAGCAAAATTAAACTATAGCTCTTATGGAGTCTGATTTAAAATGTATGGAATTCAAACTTAGGGCTTACCAAAGTCTAATAAGAGACTCACTACATTAAGTAGAATTCAAAAGAGTTAAACTCTCAGGTAAGGCTGAACCAAAAGTAACCCACCTTCTACAGGAGAGGTGCCTTGGTGTCAAGCAAATAAAGCGTAAAGGAAAAGAAAAGGGAGGGAGAGACAAAGAAAGAGAAGAGGAGAAAGATGGCCAAATATGAACAGCTCCAGTCTACAGCTCCCAGCATGAGCGACGCAGAAAACGGGTGATTTCTGCATTTCTAACTGAGGTACTGGGTTCATCTCACTGGGGCATGTCAGACAGTGGGTGCAGCACACCGAGTGAGAGTGGAAGCAGGGTGAGGCATCGCCTTACCCAGGAAGTGCAAGGGGTCAGGGAATTCCCTTTCCTAGCCAAGGGAAGCCATGACACACAGCACCTGGAAAATCGAGTCACTCCCACCCTAATACTGCACTTTTCCAAGGGTCCTAGCAAACGGCACACCAGGAAATTATATCCTGCGCCTGGCTCGGAGGGTCCCACACCCATGGAGCCTCGCTCATTTCTAGCACAGCAGTCTGAGACCTAACTGCAAGGCGGCAGTGAGCCTGAGGAAGGGCGCCCACCATTGCTGAGGCTTCAGTAGGTAAACAAAGCAGCCAGGAAACCCAAACTGGGTGGAGCCCACCGTCGCTCAAGGAGGCCTGCCTGCCTCTGTAGACTCCACCTCTGTGGGCAAGGCATAGCCGAACAAAAGGCAGCAGCAACCTCTGCAGATTTCACTGTTCCTGTCTGACAGCTTTGAAGAGAGTAGTGGTTCTCCTAGCACAGAGTTTGAGATCTGAGAACGGACAGACTGCCTCCTCAAGTGAGTCCCTGACCCCTGAGTAGCCTAACTGGGAGGCCCCCCAGTAGGGGCAGACTGATACCTCACATGGCCGGGTACCCCTCTGAGACAAACCTTCCAGAGGAACGATCAGGCAGCAACATTTGCTGTTCAGCAATATTCGCTGTTCTGCAGCCTCCGCTGCTGATACCCAGGCAAACAGGGTCTGGTGTACCTGAAAGGGTCTTGAGTGGACCTCCAGCAAACTCCAACAGACCTGCAGCTGAGGGTCCTGACTGTTAGAAGGAAAACTAACAAACAGAAAGGACATCCACACCAAAACCCCATCTGTATGTCACCATCATCAAAGACCAAAGGTAGATAAAATCAAAAAGATGGGAAAAAAACAGAGAAGAAAAGCTGAAAATTCTAAAAATCAGAGCACCTCTCCCCCTCCAACGGAACGCAGCTCCTCGCCAGCAAAGGAACAAAGCTGAATGGAGAATGACTTTGACGATTTGAGAGAAGAAGGCTTCAGATGATCAAACTTCTCCAAGCTAAAGGAGGAAGTTCAAACCCATCACAAAGAAGCTAAAAACCTTGAAAAAGATTAGACAAATGGCTAACTAGAATAACCAGTGTAGAGAAGTCCTTAAATGACCTGATGGAGCTGAAAACCATGGCACGAGAACTACATGACGAATGCACAAGCTTCAGCAACGGATTTGAGCAACTGAAACAAAGGGTATCAGTGATTGAAGATCAAATGAATGAAACAAAGCGAGAAGAGAAGTTTATAGAAAAAACAGTAAAAAGAAATGAACAAAGCCTCCAAGAAATATGGGACGATGTGAAAAGACCAAATCTATGTCTGATTGGTGTACCTGAAAGTGACAGGGAGAATGGAACCAAGCTGGAAAACACACTTCAGGATATTATCCAGGAGAACTTCCCCAACCTACCAAGGCAGGCCAACATTCAAATTCAGGAAATACAGAGAACACCACAAAGATACTCCTCGAGAAGAGCAACTCCAAGACACATAATTGTCAGATTCACCAAAGTTGAAATGAAGGAAAAAATGTTAAGGGCAGCCAGAGTAAAACGTCGGGTTACCCACAAAGGGAAGCCCATCAGACTAACAGCAGATCTCTCAGCAGAAACTCCACAAGCCATAAGAGACTGTGGGCCAATATTCAACATTCTTAAAGAAAAGAATTTTCAACCCAGAATTTCATATCCAGCCAAACTATGCTTCATAAATGAAGGAGAAATAAAATACTTTACAGACAAGGAAATGCTGAGAGATTTTGTCACCACCAGGCCTGCCCTACAAAAGCTCCTGAACGAAGCACTAAACATGGAAAGGAACAACCAGTACCAGCCACTGCAAAAACATGCCAAAATGTAAAGACCATCGATGCTAGGAAGAAACTGCGTAAACTAACAAGCAAAATAACCAGCTAACATCATAATGACAGGATCAAATTCACACATAACAATATTAACCTTAAATGTAAATGGGCTAAATGCTCCAATTAAAAGACACAGACTGGCAAGTTGGATAAAGGGTCAAGACCCATCAGTGTGCAGTATTCAGGAGACCCATCTCATGTGCAGAGACACACATAGGCTCAAAATAAAGGGATGGAGGAAGATCTACCAAGCAAATGGAAAACAAAAAAAAGCAGGGGTTGCAATCCTAGTCTCTGATAAAACAGACTTTAAACCAACAAAGATCAGAAGAGACAAAGAAGGCCATTATATAATGGCAAAGGGATCAATTCAACAAGAAGAGCTAACTATCCTAAATATATATGCACCCAATACAGGATCACCCAGATTCATAAAGCAAGTCCTTAGAGTCCTACAAAGAGACTTAGACTCCCACACAATAATAATGGGAGACTTTAACACCCCCACTGTCAACATTAGACAGC
The DNA here is from genome assembly GCF_000001405.40 of Homo sapiens. Lineage (NCBI taxonomy): Eukaryota > Metazoa > Chordata > Mammalia > Primates > Hominidae > Homo > Homo sapiens. The sequence continues at coordinate 32,765,202 of NC_000011.10, forward strand.
TCAATGAGACAGAAAGTTAAAAAGGATATCCAGGAATTGAACTCAGCTCTGCACCAAGTGGACCTAAGAGACATCTACAGAACTCTCCACCCCAAATCGACATAATATACATTCTTCTCAGCACCACATCACACTTATTCCAAAATTGACCACATAGTTGGAAGTTAAGCACTCCTCAGCAAATGTAAAAGAACAAATTATAACAAACTGTCTCTCAAACCACAGTGCAATCAAACTAGAACTCAGGATTAACAAACTCACTCAAAACTGCTCGACCACGTGGAAACTGAACAACCTGCTCCTGAATGACTACTGGGTCTATAACAAAATGAAGGCAGAAATAAAGATGTTCTTTGAAAACAATGAGAACAAAGACACAACATACCAGAATCTCTGGGACACATTTAAAGCAGTGTGTAAAGGGAAATTTATAGCACTAAATGCCCACAAGAGAAAGCAGGAAAGATCTAAAATTGACACCCTAACATCACAATTAAAAGAACTAGAGAAGCAAGAGCAAATGCATTCAAAAGCCAGCAGAAGGCTGAATCTCTGAAAGAAGTTGAATCTCTGAATAGACCAATAACAGGCTCTGAAATTGAGGCAATAATTAAGAGCCTACCAAACAAAAAAACTCCAGGACCAGATGGATTCACAGCCGAATTCTACCAGAGGTACAAGGAGGAGCTGGTACCATTCTTTCTGAAACTATTCCAATCAATAGAAAGAGAGAGAATCCTCCCTAACTCATTTTATGAGGCCAGCATCATCCTGATACCAAAGCCTGGCAGAGACACAACAAAAAAAGAGAATTTTAGGCCAATATCCTTAATGAACATCGATGCAAAAATCCTCCATAAAATACTGGCAAACCGAATCCAGCAGCACATCAAAAAACTTATCCACCATGATCAAGTGGGCTTCATCCCTGGAATGCAAGGCTGGTTCAACATATGCAAATCAATAAACGTAATCCAGCATATAAACAAAACCAAAGACAAAAACCACATGATTATCTCAATAGATGCAGAAAAGGCCTGTGACAAAATTCAACAGCCCTTCATGCTAAAAACTCTCAATAAATTCGGTATTGATGGAACATATCTCAAAATAATAAGAGCTATTTATGACAAACCCACAGCCAATATCATACTGAATGGGCAAAAACTGGAAGCCTTCCCTTTGAAAACTGGCATAAGACAAGGATGCCCTCTCTCACCACTCCTATTCAACATAGTGTTGGAAGTTCTGGCCAGGGCAATCAGGCAGGAGAAAGAAATAAAGGGTATTCAGTTAGGGAAAGAGGAAGTCAAATTGTCCCTGTTTGCAGATGACATGATTGTATATTTAGAAAACCCCATCGTCTCAGCCCAAAATCTCCTTAAGCTGATAAGCAACTTCAGCAAACTGAATCTGCAAACTCAGGAATACAAAATCAATGTGCAAAAATCACAAGCATTCTTATACACCAATAACAGGCAAACAGAGAGCCAAATCATGAGTGAACTCCCATTCACAATTGCTTCAAAGAGAATAAAATACCTAGGAATCCAACTTACAAGGGACATGAAGGACCTCTTCAAGGAGAACTACAAACCACTGCTCAATGAAATAAAAGAGGACATAAACAAATGGAACAACATTCCATGCTTATGGATAGGAAGAATCAATATCGTGAAAATGGCCATATTGCCCAAGGTAATTTATAGATTCAATGCCATCCCCATCAAACTACCAATGACTTTCTTCACAGAATTGGAAAAAACTACTTTAAAGTTCATATGGAATCAAAGAAGAGCTCGCATTGCCAAGGCAATCCTAAGCCAAAAGAACAAAGCTGGAGGCATCACGCTACCTGACTTCAAACTATACTACAAGGCTACAGGAACCAAAACAGCATGGTACTGGTACCAAAACAGAGATATAGACCAATGGAACAGAACAGAGCCCTCAGAAATAATACCACACATCTACGACCATCTGATCTTTGACAAACCTGACAAAAACAAGAAATGGGAAAAGGAGTCCCTATTTAACAAATGGTGCTGGGAAAACTGGCTAGCCATATGTAGAAAACTGAAACTGGATCCCTTCCTTACACTTTATACAAAAATTAATTCAAGATGGATTAAAGACGTAAATGTTAGACCTAAAACCATAAAAACTCTAGAAGAAAGCCTAGGCAATACCATTCAGGACATAGGCATGGGCAAGGACTTCATGTCTAAAACACCAAAAGCAATGGCAACAAAAGCCAACATTGACAAATGGGATCTAATTAAACTAAAGAGTTTCTGCACAGCAAAAGAAACTACCATCAGAGTGAACAGGCAACCTACAGAATGGGAGAAAATTTTTGCAATCTACTCATCTGACAAAGGGCTAATATCCAGAATCTACAAAGAACTCAAACAAATTTACAAGAAAAAAACAAACAACCCCATCATAAAGTGGGCAAAGGATATGAACAGACACTTCTCAAAAGAAGACATTTATGCAGCCAAAAGACACATGAAAAAATGCTCATCATCACTGGCCATCAGAGAAATGCAAATCAAAACCACAGTGAGATACCATCTCACTCCAGTTAGAATGGCAACCATTAAAAAGTCAGGAAACAACAGATGCTGGAGAGGATGTGGAGAAATAGGAACACTTTTACACTGTTGGTGGGACGGTAAACTAGTTCAACCATTGTGGAAGTCAGTGTGGCGATTCCTCAAGGATCTAGAACTAGAAATACCATTTGACCCAGCCATCCCACTACTGGGTATATACCCAAAGGATTATAAAGCATGCTGCTATAAAGACACATGCACACGTATGGTTATTGCGGCACTATTCACAATAGCAAAGACTTGGAACCAACCCAGATGTCCATCAATGATAGACTGGATTAAGAAAATGTGGCACATATACACCATGGAATACTATGCAGCCATAAGAAAGGATGAGTTCATGTCCTTTGTAGGGACATGGATGAAGCTGGAAACCATCATTCTCAGCAAACTATCACAAGGACAGAAAACCAAACACCACATGTTCTCACTCATAGGTGGGAATTGAACAATGAGAACACTCGGACACAGGAAGGGGAACATCACACACCAGGGCCTGTCATGGGGTTGGGGGAGTGGGCAGGGATAGCATTAGGAGATATACGTAACATAAATGACGAGTTAATGGGTGCAGCACACCAGCATGGTACATGTATACATATGTAACAAACCTGCACGTTGTGCACATGCATCCTAGAACCTAAAGTATAGTAATAAAAAATAAAATAAAATAAAAAAAGAAAGCAAAGAGGAAAAAAAGTCTTATCCCAGAAAGTTGTAAACAGTTTAATTTCATATTAATTTTTAAATAAAAGCTGCTTCATTGGATAGTGAAAGAAACCTCAATCTATTAATATAATTTAAAATGCTTCCAGATTGATAATGCCCATAAGAACTTTGCAGATGCAAATGAAAATTTATTCTGGAAGAATACACTTAGCCAGGTGTGGTTGTGCACCCCTGTAGTCCCAGCTACTGGGGAGTCTGAGGTGGAAGGGTCACTTGAGACCAGGAGTTTGAGACTGTGGTGAGCCTTGATCGTGCCACTGCACTCCACCATAGGCGACGGAGTGAGACTCCATCTCAAAAAAATAAAAGAAAGAAAAGAGACAAAGACAAAGACAAACACATAGAGAAATCTGCAAGATGTCTGAACAAGTACTTCATAAAAGAGGATATCCAAATGGCCAATACACCCAGGAAAAGGTACTAGCTTCATTAGTAATCAAGGATATGCAAATTAAAATGCCAAGATTCCACAACATACCAGGTCAGTCAAAAATTTAAAAGTTTGACATTACCAAGTATTAGTAAAGAAATGAACCAATAGGAACTCCCAGATACCATCAGTGTGTAAACAGGTAAGACCACTTTGGAAAACAGTTTGTTAGTATTACGTTGAAGATATACACCCTTTATCTGTGTAACAAACCTCCCCAAAACATAATGACTTAAAATAACAATGATTTAAATTTCTTTTGTTTTATTTAGCTCAGGATTCTTAGGATTGCTAATTTGTACTGGGCTCAGCTAGGTGGTTCCTCTGTTCTCTGCTGGGTTTATTAATGAGTCTGTGATCAGCTGTCTGTCTGAAAAGTCTGTTTCTAGGGATTCGCTGTCCACTGTGGTACAAGGACAACTGGACCACATACCTCTCATATAGTAAGGTAGACTTGGTTTGTTTATATAGTGGCTGGACTGGGTTCCAAGAGGAAGAGCAGAACATTCAAGGCTTTCTGAGACCCAGGTTCAGATATGGAGTAACACTGCTCCTGTCACATTCTATTCAACAAAGCAAATCACAAAACCAGCAAAGATTCAAGGGATGGAGAAATATACTCCATCTTTTGATGTAGGAAGACACAAAAGGAGCATTTCAAAGAGTGTTACTATAGAGAGGGGAGAAATTGTGGCCATTTAAACAATCCACTAGACATCTCTATGACTCAGCAATTGCTCTCTTCCATGTATATCCCTACTCTCATTTTTATCTGTCAAAATCTTACCCATCCTTCAATGATCCACTAAAATATCTCTTCCTCCAAGAAGTCATTTTGATCTCACTAATTAAAGTGGTCCCTTCATATTGCTGAGCAACCATTACAATATGTAACTATTTTATTACACAACACATTTTATATCTGGAATCTTTGTAACCTCCCAAAGCCAGTGGCATATATTTTAGATTTGTATTATGGTATCCTTTCACTTCCAGCACTGATTTCTGTATTAGTTATTGCTGTATAACAAACCACCCAAAACTTAATGGCTTACAGCAGTAATTTATTATTTGTCATCATTTTGTGGACTGGCTGGGTTGTTTGTCTGCTGGTTTTATATAGGCTGTTTTATACAAGTTTATTCAGTTGTTAGATTTGCTTAGTTAGGGCTGAACTCAGCTGGAAATGCTGGAACTTATGGGTCTCTTTCTTCACATGGTTTTCACCCCAGACTTCTTCATAGCATGGTGATCTCTGGGGAGTATTTTTAAGAGTTCAAAGGTAGAAACTGCAAGGCCTCTTGAAGCCTACACTGTAGAGCTCATACAGTGTCAATTCTGCCACATTCTATTAACTAAAGCATTTCATAAAGCTATCCTAGATTCAAAGGGGTGAAGAAATTGATTCCAATTCTAGATGGGAGAAACAAGATCACATGGTAAAGGGGTGTAGATACACGATGGGAAGAATTTGTGCCCATTAAACAATATGTAACAATATATAAATAATTACCAGGTAAGAGAGGTTCTTGTGTTTCTAGAACAAAACAAGGATGCTATGAAAAAAATTCCACAATCACAAAGAGGGTGGCAGAGAGACTGTTTATGGAAACTGGAAAAGCAATAAAGAAACTGTTACTGGAGTCTGCAAAGACGTCCAGAAATAACTGGACAAAGCATTGTCTGCAGTAACTTGAAAGATAGAAAATGTACCTAATCAAATTGTGGATCTGACTAAGGTGACTTCTAGGCAGAATACTGGAAGTGTAAACTGACTTTTTTTTAGCTGAATATTGAAAATACGGGGAGAGAGATGAAGTCAAAAAGAAATTGTTCAGGTTCATAAGTCAACTTTGGAGGATATACTATACAAAAAGGCCCAAGATGTGCTGGGTTGGAAAATAAAATCGTTTAACATCCAATCAACAAAAGTTTTCACAGTAAGAAATAGCTCAAATAAATATCAAAACACAGGTAAGAATGTTAAGAACATTTTAAGACCATGGAAAAATTCAAGGCAGCCTTATACAAGGATCTCAAGGGCGTTATCTTAGAGCATCCTGACATGCCCAAGGTAGGAGAAATCAGTCCTAAAAAGATTGGCTTTGGAGAAAAGATTCATAGAAACCACAGAAAGTTTTGTGTTTGTTTGGTTTCAGTTTTTTAAAAATTGTACTGGCAGCAGCACTGCCAGCTTGGACTAAAAGGGACTGACACAGTTAAAAATGAAGAGGCCTTTGGATCATCAAAGAACAATGGGTAGAAAACAAGACTAAAACAACCACCCATTTGCAAACAGAGGCCATGTTTTATGGAAAAGGAAAGGCCTTTCAAACAGCTAAGCCAAGAATCCAGAGGTATGGCCAAGATGAAAACAATGTACTAGGGGACCACTCCCGGGTTGCAGAATGGAGACCTAATCAAGAAACATCCCATGCCCCTGATAACTTGTGCCCACTTGCATTTCAGAAATGCCATGAACTAGTGACTGCTAAATGCCACTATTCCTCCCCTTTTTGAATGAAAGCATCTACTGTGATTATCATGTCCCTGTCTCACCACTGTGTATTGAATGTGTAAGAGGCAAATAATTTTTTAGTCCATAGATCTCTGGATCAAGAGGAGCTACACTTGACAAGCTGCAGCCAAAGAGCATGAACCACATTCAAACCGATGGACTTTGAGCCCAATACTGTTTGGGGTTGAGATTTTTGGAAGTCTTGGGACGAAGGTGAACATGATTTGCTTGTGTGAGAAATGTAAAAGAGGTAAACTGATAAATTGCTTAATGGTGACAAATTCCTCCCATCATCTCATTTGAAATGTGATAGGGTCACTTCTCCCTTCCAGAGATGAAATCTATGTCTCCACTAGGATTGCCTTACAATTTGTTTTGGTCAGTAGGCCTTGAAGTCTTTGCTCTTTGAAAATGTTGCTCTGAACCTGCCATGCCATGTTATACAAAGAACGAGAAGTTCAGAATCAAAGACTACATGGAGAGAGGAGGCCCAGCCATCCCAAATGTCCCAGCTGGGGCTAACCCCCACAACAATCTACAAACTCAGGTGCAGTTGCAACAGAGCCTAGGCAAGACCAGCAGAAAAACATTCCAACAAACTCACGAAATTATGAGAAATAATAAATCACTGTTATTTTAAACCATTAAGTTGGAGGTGATTTGCTATGCAGCCACAGATTCAATATTTTTAGTTTAATTTTTTTTATTCTGCTCTCTACATTGTCTCTTTTCTCCAAGTTCCTTTTCTCCCATTTGGTTTTCATCTCTTTCATGGTTTTCTCAAATGTCAGACGATTCCCAGCTGTCTGTTTATATTTATAAGTAATGCATTAGTCAATATTATAAAAAACAAAAGCAGGGGGACTGTTCTAGATTAAAGGACAACAAAAAAAAATGACTACCAAATGCAATGTGGGAACTTTAATTAGATCCTAGATAGAAAAAACAAATAGCTATTGAGGGCATTTGGAGGAAAAAGGAGGAAATTTGAATATTGAGTATAGTATATTGAGATAATATTCCTGAATCAATACTAGATTTCTTAGATGGCTATAAAGCAGAACATACTTGTCCTTGTTTAAGGAGATACAAGCTTCAAGTATCTCAGAGCAAAGTATCATGATGCTTACAAGTTACTTTCAACAGGTTCAGGAAAGAGAGGTATATAAAGAGATAAAACAAATATAGCAGATTTTTAATAACTGGTGAAATCTAGGTAAGGTTATAAAGGTGTTAGTTATTCTATTATTTGAACTATTGAAGTTTGAAAATAGAATGACACACTATAATCAAAAAGACAAATAATAATGAGTGTTGACAAGGATGTGAGAAATTGGAACCTTCATAAACTGCTGGTGGGAATATAAAATGGTGCAACCAGAAAACAGCCCAGGTAGTTCCTCAAAAGGTTAAACATAAAGTTACCATATGACTCAGCAATTCCATTTAGATTCCCAAGAGAACACTACACATAAATATTCATAAAAGCATTATTCATAATAGCCAAAAAATGGAAACAACTCAAATGCCTATCAACTGGTGAATGGATAAATAAAATGTAGCATATCTATAAAATAGAATGTTAGTCCACAATAAGAAGGGGTGAAGTAATGACACATGCAACAACATGGATGAACCTTGAAAATGTTACACTAAATGAAAGAAGTCAATCACAAAAGGCCACATATTTAATGATTCAACATATATGAAATGTCCAGAATAAGCAAATCCACAGGACATAAAGTAGATCTGTATTTGCTTAGGTTGGGGGGTTGAAGCAGGATTGCAGGGGAATAGTGAATGACTGCTAATGAGTATGGGGTTTCTTTTTGAGGTATTAAAATGTTCTAAAATTGATTGTGGTGATGGATAAACAACTGTGAATATACCAAAAATTATTGAATTGCACACTTTGAATGAGTCAACCATATGATATGGAAACTACATCTCAATGAAAAAGCTATTTTTAAAAAGTGGAATGATACATTAAAAATTGAATGGGGCCATAAGTGGTGGCTCACACCTGTAATCTCAGAATTTTGGAAGGTTGAGGCAGGAGGATCACTTGAATCCAGGAGTTCAAGACAAGCCTGGGAAATACAGTGAGACCCCCATCTTCACAAACACACACACACACACAAAGTCAGGCATGGTGGCACACATCTCCCAGTTACTTGGGAGGCTGAGGTTGGAGAATCACTTGAGCCCAGGAGTTCGAGGTAACAGTGAGCTATGATCGCATTGCTGCCCTCCAGCCTGGGTAACAGAGCAAGATGCTGTCTCAAAAAAAAAAAAATGAATAGAAGCACTGAGGGAGGGCTTATTGATTGATAGGTTTCACTACTGGGTGATCAGGTAACAAAACAGATTTTTCATTAGGGGTTCACCTCCCTAATGTCAATATGTAGACATGTTTTCTCTCAGGTGTTTCATTTTCCCCAGAGAACTCTCCATTTTCTTGTCCTGAAGTTTAAGAGAAGACGGTAGGGGGTTTTATCTGGCAGTATGCCTTCTGATAGAAGATGATAGTAGAAAGTAAGGATTCCACAGTTCAATGAGAAGATTTTTACTTAATTTTCATTTTCAGCCCCATGCGTCATCCCTTTCCCTTGCTTTATCTGGTGTACTCCTAACTAGAATTGCCATGGATCCATTTTTCCAGCACACAAACTTCTCATCTTCTGCAGGGAAGGAGACCTGGAAAGGTTCAAGTACTCTATAGATATATTTTCAACAAGTCTCCCTTTTTATTCCCAAGTCTTATTCCTTGCCTTACAAAGTACCTGTTGTTTCCAAGTGCTAAGCAAACTTCTGAACTTTTAAGTCAGTCACAATGCTCCTCTATTTGCTTTCTGACAGATTCTGTTAAATCATTGTCTATTCTCTCTTGTCTCTGTGAGTTAAAACCCTTTTTATGCATTTTAATGAACGTGAGAAAAATAAATGGATGTGGTCAATCTATTATGTTTAATTTAAAGTTCTAAAAAGGATTTCAAAACTCACCTCCTATTTAATTATATAAACTCTAGTGCATAGGACACCTTGAATAACATTGGTCCTCAAAGAATACATGATGGCATTTCAGAAAACCATGGAAGAGATGAAAAGCAAATATAAGAAAAGGAATTTGGAGAAAAGAAACAATGTGGACAGCAGAATTAAAAAAATAAAAAAATAAAAACATTGAATCTATGGCTGTATAACAAATAATACCCAACTTAATTATGTAAAACAATGATTTATTATTTCTTATAATTTCATAGAGCAGTTGATTAAAGAAACACTGATTAGCTTCCTAGCATAGGTACAGCACAATGCAAGTACTTCAGGATAGAGTTCACAATCTGGTTGGAGAGACAGACATGGAAACCAACAGTGTGATAAGCACTAGAACAGAAACATGTACAAAGTGCCTATAAAAATACAAATGACAAAGCAATTAATTCTGTCCACAGGAAGGTTTTAAGGTGAGTGTTTTGGAAAAAGTGGTATCTATCTAGGCCTTAAATATTCTCTGACAAAAAATATGAGGAAAAAATAACATTTTAAAAATTATATGTTTATATAGTTTATCATTTACATTAAATACATCAATTTACCAATAGAACTGTCTACCAGATGGTGCATCAAATGTAGATGATTTCTTTGCCACTCAGCTTTGGGAGCCAGTGTTGTCACTTTAGCCACTGTTGTATCCCCCAGAGCCTAGCAAAATATTTGGCACACAATAGACACTGAATAAATCTTTCAGTTCAAAAATATACCAAATTTATTCCAGCTTTAAGGCCTATAGGCTTGCTGTTCCTTCTGTCTGGAATGCTCTATATCCATATCTTTATACAGAATTTCCTTTATGTTTCTGCAGTCTCAGGTCAAATGTTACTTCTTCAGTAAGCACCACACCTAATCACTCTTTAGCATATTATCTATCCTGTTTTATTTTCTCCAGAGCACTTAACATTATCCTACATTATCTTATGTTGATTATGTGTTAATTTTATTTATTATACCTCCTCCTTTAAAATACTAGCTTTGTGAGGTCAAAATCTCTTCTACTTTGGCCATGCTGTGTCTTCAGCACCTAGGACATGACCAGATATAGCATAATACATGAGATTAAATAAATATTAGTTGAATATTAAATAAATTTATCTCACCTAGTCCCTGAGGGTACTTAGTTAGTGACCTCTGCTTCATTCAAAGAGCAACAGATTGGGAATCCTTTAATATTAACAAATCTGTTAATAGGTAGCTATGTTTTCACATGCTTTGCCCTTTTTGTACCTACTTTCTTATTTTATCTCTTAATTTACTTCCAGCTCCAAAGTTCTATCACACAACTGCCATGTGAAAGACTCCCACTTCATCTTCAGCAATTTCTAAAGTACTCACTTGCATTTTTTCACATCAGATTTAACAAATCAAAATTTGTACTTTTTCTTCTCTCTCAAATCTTTTTAATTTCATTGCGGTCAGTAGTATCATGTATTCTATTTTAATCTCCAATGAACATTCACAAAATCTTTGACATCTTTCTCTTTCTCTCTCTCTGCTTCTCCACCTCTTGTTCACTTTCTCTGTCAACTACACTGTCACTTTCACTTTCTCCTTCATCCCCTAAATCTAATCTCTAAATGGACCGGTTTGTTCTTCCTTCTAATTTGCTCTTAGATTCATTCTGCATCACTACTCCTACTGCTATCAATCTAGTCAGACCCTCATTACCTCAGACATGAATTATAATCACCTTTTCCTGTTATCCCTTTATTTAATCTTCTCTCCCACTTCAATCTATTGTGCATATTTTCTCCAGAATTATTTTGCAAAACATCACCTAAACCTCATCAATTTCCAAACTCAAAGAGTTCTTTTTGTATACAAATCAAGCCCAAATTCCTGTGCCTAATATTTCAGGGTTCCCCACTTTCTAGTTTCATCCCCCTTTTCAACTTTAATCTTCTGCCCCCAAAAGACTTCCTCTATTACACTTTCCTTACTGTCTCCTACTAATCCGTGCTCATTTTCACCTCTGTACCTAGAATAATTTTTTTACTCACTCCACTTATCTATCCATCTTTTATGCCCATTTCAAGGCCTCTTTTCTCCAGGAACCCTTCCCTGGCTATTCTAAACCACAATAACCCTTCCATTTTCTAAATCCATGTTGTGTGCTTAAATTCAACCCTATAGTTTAACAAGAATTCTCCAATTCTTTGTATGTTCAATATGCCTCTCCAATGGGATGTTTCTGAAAGGCAAGAACTGTTTTACTCTTCTTTCATTCACTCCCCCAACTCCACAGCATATATATATACATATGTATATATACAACCCCTTACCTAACAAAGCAATTTCCCTTATATTTTTCCTTTGATCCTCAAATTGCTTCTCTGAGGTTTACAGAGTATTTCTTCCTACAGAGTATGGTTAAAAAAAAAAAATATATATATATATATATATATATACACACACACACATATATATATACACATGTATATATATATATATATATATATATATATATATAATTGAACTTAAAGTTAGAAGTCTTAGACTTGAGAAAAAACTTGACTACTTTCTGTATGTAATCTTTTTTTTCTTTCTTTTTTTTTTTTTTTTTGAGACGGAGTCTTCCTCTGTCACCCAGGCTGGAGTGTAGTGGTGCAATCTCAGATCTCAGCTCACTGCAACCTCCACCTCCTGTGTTCAAGTGATTCTCCCGCCTCAGCCTCCCAAGTAGCTGGGACACAGGCATGTGCCACCACACCCGGCTAATTTTTGTATTTTTAGTAAAGATGGCGTTTTGCCATGTTGGCCATGCTGGTCTTGAACTCCTGACCTCAAGTGATCTGTCCACCTCAGCCTCCCAAAGTGCTGGGATTATAGGTGTGAGCCACCACACCCAGCCATCACTGTGTAACCTTGAAGAAATAAAAACCAGTTTTTCTAAAACTGTTTCCTAATCTGACAATAAATGTTAAGTTTAATGCAAAAATACAGGCTCATATTTTAAAAGATCAGCACTGTTGAAGGCTTACAATAGATTTTTAGCTGGATTAACAACCCTAACAGGGTAAATTAATAAATAATTCTGAAGAAAATACAGGAAAAATCTACAACTACATCAGATTTCACTTTCTATACTATTGAGACTTTTTAGAAGTTATTATTACTTATAATAATATTTTAAACATTACTAATATTTTATAAGAAAGGTATATTTCTTTGAACAGATCTTATCTATTACTCATATTCCAACATATTACAAAAGAGATTTAAGGTGGTGATTTAAGAAGTTTGCTACATTTGTATTTGTGATTTTTATTAATAAAGAAGGCTAAAATATTTTCATCAAACTGTTCCTTCTATTTTCTATGGGAAGTCAATGTCAAAATGTTACTCATTTATCAGAAATACACTTTAAAGTGCATTTGTTATGTGACTTGGTATGTGTTTCTTGCTATATATACACTATTTATCTTAAATACTCTACATTCAAAATCATTTGCCAAATATCTTTGGAATCTGGGAATAGTATCTCTTTATGTTAAGAGCAGAAAACCATATTACGTATCTGCTTAATAATAAAAACATGTTAAAACAACAACAAAAACATTTCATATTATTATGAAATAAATAAGTGGTTTTCAAAGTGCAGTTCCTGGACCAACAATATCAGCAACACTTAAGACCTTGTTAGAAATGCACATTCTCAAACCTTTCTCTGATCTACTGAGTCAGAAAATGGGGTTAAGGCCCAGCAATCCTGTGTTTTAACAAATTACTAAAGTGTGACAATCACTGAAACACATTAACATGAGCATGCAAATGCTCATTTGGTCACTGGATGTTTTTAAAATATGTACTGGAAATTTAAATCTTGTCTAGAAAAATATTTTTTTGTTTTCTTGTTTAATTTATCAAATGCTGAGTTAAAGAACTAGGCAAAACTGTAAGCACTGTAATCTGGCCTTAACAATGGAACTGAGAAACTTGAGGCCAGTTGTAATCTTTTGTATTAAGAATCAGAGAAGGCCGGGAGTGGTGGCTTACACCTGTAATCCCAGCACTTTGGGAGGCTGAGGCAGGCGGATCACCTGAGGTCAGGAGTTCGTGACCAGCCTGGCCAACATGGTGAAACCCCGTCTCTACTAAAAATACAAAAATGGGCCAGACATGGTGGCAGGCGCCTGTAATCCCAGCTACTTAGGAGGCTAAGGCAGGAGAATTGCTTGAACCTTGCAGTCAGCTGAGATCATGCCATTGCACTCTAGCCTGGGGGACAAGAGTGAGACTTCCTCTCAAAAGAAAAAAAAAATCAGAGAAAACGGATGCTAAATACCCAAAAATATGCAAATATTCCCAAAATATGAACCAGGACAAGCAATTAAGAAGATTACGTATTTCTCCACTTGGTAAACTTTAAAAATGTATAACTGGAGTTATGAGTGTTATGGAAGGAGCAAATAAGCAAAGCATATGGTAATCAATCCTATGGTCTTAAGTAAATAATCTCTGGGCCAGAGTTCCAACTGATGTGCTAGGACAATGTTCCATGAATACATTACAAGTATTCATGTTCCATGAATATGTTACAGGTATTAATAGTCATTGATTCTCTCAGTACTGCAAATTGCTAGGCACAGCCTGGGAAGACCAAAACACCTAGGGCTGGTTGCAACCAGTGAAGAGTAGCTTTGTCCACTTGCCTCTCTGCACTATACAAATACTATGTTATCATTTTCCAATTATGCCTTCATGTGGGGCAAAAAAAAAAAAAAAAAAAGGAGGAAGCACTTTTCTAGCCATTTCTGCTAATTCAGTGAGTAGGGTACTTCCTGTTTCAAATATAGAAAACACAACTTAAGCTGACTTTAAGACAAAAAGTAAATGTATTGGCTTATTTGACTAAAAAGTCTAAAATTAAGTTTGACTTCAGGCCAGTAATGTGACCAGCACCTGGATTGTTATCTTTTAATGTTTGCCTATGCTACCTCAATATTGGCTACATTCTCAATAGGCTGTCAATTCATAATGCCAAAAGGCTATAGGCAGCTACTGGGGCTAAATACTTCCTTGTATCTTTTTCCACCAAGAAAAGGAGAGTTTGTGTCCTGACAAGAGTCCTAAAGTTCCCATTTAGGCCTACTTGGATTACCTTCCCATTCCTGAACCAATTAATAAGCTTAGGAGAATGACAGACGCACAGTTCAACAAGAGTAATCTTTGGAGCTAGAAGTGAGGTCAATCCAGGTTAATCTCAAAAATATCACATGCCTGAGAAAGTGAGAAGGACTACTTAAGGAAATGTGAGGTACTGTTATCAGGAAAAGGGAAGAAGGTATACAGGTTAATAAACAAGAGCTTTCCATAACAGCTTACCATACATCTCTAAATGAGCTAAAATACAAAATAAAAATAATCACTTTTTTCTTTGGATTAAAAGTGAACACCTCAATGGTAATCTAAAAAAAGTATATGTTAAAATAACACGAGGTTGGGTGCAGTAACTCACGCCTGTAACCTCAGCACTTTGGGAGGCCGAGGCAGGCAGATCACTTGAGGCCAGGAGTTCGAAACGAACCTGGTCAACATGGTGAAACCCCATCTCTACTAAAAATACAAAAATTAGCTAGGTATGATGGCACATGCCTGTAATCTCAGCTACAAGGGAGGCTGAGGCATGAGAATCACTCGAACCCAGGAGGCAGAGGTTGCAGTGAGCCAAGATTGCACGACTGCACTCCAGCCTGGGCAACACAGGAAGGCTCTGTCTCAAAAAATAATAATAATAAATAAATAAATAAAATAACATATTTACCTATAAAATTAGCCGAAGTTTTTTAAAAATAAGAGTACTGTGCTAGTAAAAAGAAAAAAAATTGTAAAAGAGGCATTCAAATAGTTCTGGTAGACATGTAAATGGAAGCAATCCTTTCAAAAAACAATTTAGAATGTCTCAAAAGTCATACACTATTCTATGCTGACTCAACTTCTAAGAATCTATTCAAAAGAAAAAAATCCTAGATGCAGAAAAAGTTTTATGTTAACGGATGTTTACAACAAAATATTTACTAATAAAAAACAAGAAAGAAAAGTTGGAAACAACCTAAATGTTCAGTAATAGAAAAATAGCCAATTAAGTTATCACTATCTAATTGAATATATGTAGCCACTTAAATAATAACGGCTAATGTTTGTTGAGCACTTAATACGTGCAAAACTATCTTCTAACACTTCATATTTAGTTCTCCAAACAACTTTATGAGATGTTTACTGTTACCATTTTCATTTCTAAATGAGAAAGCTAAGGCATAGAGAGATTAAGTAACTTGCCCAAGGATATACAGGAAGGTGGAACCAGGACATGAACCCAGCAATCTGGTTCCAGGGTTGTACTCTTAACCACTATATTATAGTGCCTCTCAAAAGTTTGTGCCCAGCCTGGGCAACATGGCAAGACCCCATCTCTACAAAAAGTTTTAAAAGTTACCCAGGTGTGGTGGTGCATGCCTGCAGTCCCAGCTACTTGGGAGGCTGAGGTAGGAGGATTGCTTGAGCCCAGAAGGCGGACGTTGCAGTGAGCCAAGATCATGCCACTGCATTCCAGCCTGGGCAACACAGTGAGACCCTGTCTCAAAAGAAAAAGTGTTTGTGGAGTTTATAACAAAAATATTTATGTTAACACTTTGTTAGAAACATCAATAATAATAAAAACAGGACTCAGAGTCTTCTAATTAAAGATAGTGGATTGAACAGTGGTATTTAGTTCCACTCCACTAAAATGACAGTGGTGATTTAAGGCATAAGCCTTAGAACAAACAGAATGGTATCTAAGACAAAAACAATAAAACTCTGTTTTTTGGCAGACAGATAAAAAAGTAGAAATCTTTATTGCACCTGAGAAAGCTAGGAAAACTGAGAAGCAATTTGATTTACATCACTCTCTCCTCTTTCTCCCCTCCCCTGCCAACAGAGTCTGCTGATACCAGGTACCTCTAAAGGTGAAGGTAAAGGTGAAGCCAAAAACAGGATGATTACTTGAAAGTGTGTTTAAGAAGACCCACAGATTCCCTCTCTCTTTCTGGTTAGGCAGAACCCTCTCTGACCTGGGCAGAAGATTGGAAGTTGTTCTGATGATGACAAAACTGAGCCTCTGGAATGGGTTTATTGGGATACCAGGTGCAGTTGAGAAAGGGTCAGGGGTGGCTACTATATGGAAAAATGTGTATATTAAATGTTGAGATACCCACCAGTCTTTCTTCTCCACAGCTCCAATAGCTGCTAACAGCCAGATAGCTCTTGAGGCAGCAGATTGGAAGGAAGTGTGTGTTTTCTAAGGCAGAAGTCCCCATCCCCCAGGCCACAAACTGATACTGGTCCGTGGCCTGTTAGGAACACCCCAGGCCACGCAGCAGGAGGTGAGCGATGGCACGAGAGCAAGTGAAGCTTCATCTGTATTTACAGCCACTCCCCATTGTTCGCATTTCCACCTGAGCTGCCTCCTGTCAGATCAGGGGCAGCATTAGATTCTCATAGGAGTACAAACCCTGTTGTGAACTGTGCATGAGAGGGATCTAGGTTGCATGCTCCTTATGAGAATCTAATGCATGATGATCTGTCACTGTCTCCCATCACCCCCAGATGGGACAGCATAGTTGCAGGAAAACAAGTTCAGGGCTCCCACTGACTCTACATTATGGTGAGTTGTATAATTATTTCATTACATATCACAATGTAAAAATAATAGAAATAAAGTGCACAATAAGTTGTAATGTGCCTGAATCATCCTGAAACCATCTTCCCCCAGCCCCAGTCTGTGGAAAAATTGTCTTCCACAAAACCAGTCCCTGGTGCCAAAAAGTTGGGGACCACTGTTCTAGGGAATTTGACCAGGCTAAGAGAAAAGACACAAATAATATGATAACAGGAGTTTCCTCACAAAATGTTCTAGTCAGGTAACCCTAAGATGAAGACCATAGTCAATAGGCTATATCCATGCATACATAACCTCCAATTCACTTTCTGGTGCCCCATTCTTAAATACAGAGCAAAGAGTGAAAAACCAATAGACTTTTAAGGGAAAGTGTCTAATTTAAAAGACAAAGATTAAAACAAACTGAAATTTTAAAAGCCAATTCAGAGGAAGCAAACATTAAGCAAAGGAAACTCTTTCAAAAGAAATATTACTAACACTCTTTTAAAAATTATTTTCTTATCCATAGTGTTCAGTACAGCATCAACTTTCTTATGAAGAGATGAGTGTATATTACATTGATGAAAAAAAAGATGCTTCACAGAAACAGTTCTTATAAAAATTAAGATAGTGGAAATGAAAAATCCAATAAAAGGATTAGAAGACAAAGTTAAAGAAGTCTTGCAAAAAGAAGCAAAAAACCAAAGAAATAGAAAATTGAAGAAACAAAGATTAGAAAATTAGAGGATTAATCCAGAAGTCCCAATAACTGTACCCTAAAAGTCCCAGAAAGAGTGAACAAAGAAATTGGAGAAGAAATCATCAAAAAGTTTCTAAATCAATTTTCCCAGAATTAAAAAATATAACTTCACATATTAAAAGAACCCATCAAGTGCCAGCACCAAGACACATCATTGGTGAAATAACAGAACACTAGAGGAAATGAAAAGATCCTATATGCTTCCAGAAAGGAAAAAAAAAATCATAAAAAAGATCAAGAATTACACTGGAATTTTCAATATCCATAATGGAAGCTAGAATAAAGAAACTAAGCCCTCAGTTTAAAGGGAAAATGATTACCAGATTGGAATTTTAACAGCCATGTCAACAGTGAAGATAGAAGATATTTTCAGATATGCAGTATCCAAAACAATTTACCTTCTATGCACCCTTTCTCAGGAAGCTCCTTAAGGATTTCTTTAAGGAAGAGAAAGGCATGGGATCCAGGAAACAGCGGATCCTTGTCTTAATCTGTTCAGATGACTATAACAAAATATCAGACCAGGTGGCTTATAAATAACAGAAATTTATTTCTCGCAGTTCTGGAAGCTGGGGAGTCCTAGATCAAAGTGCTAGCAGATTCAGTGTCTGGTGAGGTCCTGCTTCCTGTGTCCTCACATGGTGGAAGGGGTGAGGAAACTCTCTGAGGCATTTTTATTTTATTTTTATTTTTTTTTCCTGGGGTCTTTTCATAAGGGTGCTAATCCCATTCAAGAGGACTCTGCCTTCATGACCTAATCACCTCCCAAAGGCCCCACCAAATACTACCACACTGGGGATTAGGTTTCAACGTATGAATTTGGGGGAGACACAAATATTTATTCTATAGCAATCTTGCATAGGCAAGAAAGAGAGGAAAGGAACCCTAGCACGGTGGAGGACAGCAAGAGGACACCTGTACGAAGACAGAGAGCAACCAGTCCAGATTAAAGTGGTTTAATAGGCTCTGGCAGCAACTTCCTCAACACAATGGTATTAATAGATTATCAACTGTTTTTAAGTTACTCATAAAAGTTTTAGGTAACTGAGAGAAGTCTGGGGTTGAATTAGTAATTAATACATTAAAAAGAAAGCAGGCCAGCCACAGTGGCCCACGCCTATAATCTCAGCACTTTGGGAGGCCAAGGTGGGCAGATCACCTAAGGTCGGGAGTTCAAGACCAGCCTGACCAACATGGAGAAACCCCGTCTCTACTAAAAGATACAAAATTAGCCGGGCGTCGTGGTGCATGCCTGTAATCCCAGCTACTCAAGAGGCTGAGGCAGGAGAATCGCTTGAACCTGGGAGGCAGAGTTTTGGTGAGCCAAGATCGCGCCACTGCACTCCAGCCTAAGCAACAAGAGTGAAAGTCCGTCTCAAAAAAAAAAAAGAAAGCAATGGGGAAAAATAAGACAATCCAAGGTGGTAAGGAAAAATAATCACAGAATATTACAATAGTTCAGCTGTGAACCACATTTATGATTATGTTATTACTCTGCTGATATAATAAAAAGTATGCTACAACCGTTTATGGAGGATGTGAAGAAGGAGAAGTTAGAGCAAAAGACAAAAGAAAGTTAAATCCTTAGTTTCCATCATGGGAAGGCATTAGATAATGGGTAAAACTGGAAAATCAAGAAGTATCATTTACAAACATACTATTTAAAGATATGGAAGTAAATGTCTAAAGTATCAGCTAAAATAGCTTGAAGTAATTGCTCTGAAAAGGAAGAAATGGCAGGAGAGATCTTTTTCTGAACAAACTTTATTTTAAGAAAAGTATAAATGATTTTGTCCTCTTCATTCTCCTTTTCTATAAGCAGTGTAAATAACATATAATGGAGGAGTAAATTTTATTGTATATGTTTTAAGTTGGTACAGAACCCTTAGACTAAGATATATGAAATCAGTTTAGTTTCTTATAATGATAGAACAGAACAGGCTGGGCACGGTGGCTCATGCCTGTAATCCCAGCACTTTGGGATGCCAAGGCAGGCGGATCATTTGAGGTCAGGAGTTCGAGACCAGCCTGGCCAACACGGTGAAACCCCATCTCTACTAAAAATTAGACAGGCGTGGTGGTGGGCGCCTGTAATCCCAGCTACTTGGGAGGCTGAGGCAGGAGAATCACTTGAACCCGGGAGGTAGAGGTTGCAGTGAGCTGAGACAGCGCTACTATACTCCAGCCTGGGCAAAAAAGCAAGACTCCATCTCAGGAAAAAAAAAGAACAGAACAGTGTAGATTAAACTAGAATAGACCAGCAATCTCCTCACATATGGTAAGTTTTATAAAACTCTTGTTTTAATTTTATGTAAATGTAAATACATATAAGTATACCAGATTACAATGTGAAATGTATTTCTTACAGTGGCTCACTGTCAAAAAAAGTTTTACGATGCTGTTACAGACAGCTTGACAAGGTGAGAAATGCACCAGTTTTTCTTTTATTTTTTGTTTTTGTTTTTTTGACACAGGATCTCACTCTGTCACCCAGGCTGGAATGCAGTGGCGTGATCACAGCTCACTGAAGCCTTGACCTCCAGGGCTCAAGTGACCCTGCCACCTCAGCCTCCCAAGTAGCTGGGACTGTAGGCATGTGTCACCATACCCAGTGAATTTTTTATTTTTTTTAGAGACAGACAGGCTATCACTATGTTACCCAGGCTGGTCTTGAACTCCTAGGCTCAAGCAATCCTCCTGCCTCGGCCTCCAAAGTGCTAGGATTACAGGCATGAGCCACCATGCCTGGCAGAAGTGCACCAGTTTTGAAGTTTTGTGGTAAAGTACAGATTTTTGTTATGTGCTTTTGAAAAAGAAATATGCATTTTTGTAGCTTCCTATAACAGAATCCACAACAGATATGGATTAAAATTCTCTCCTCTTACTAGCTGTGTGACTTCTCACACAGAGGAGGTTTCAGTTTCCTCATCTATTAATACCAGGGATAATAATACTTATTTCACAGGATGTGATGATTAAATTAAGGTAACATATGTAAAGACCTGGTTTTACATAAGGGTTCAGAAACCAGTGAAGAAGAAATGTAAATGCTTATATGTATAAAACATGCTGTTTTTGTAATTTTAAAAAGACATGTAATATTTAATTTGAAGCTTCATCTATATTTTACTTTTAACAGATCAAAATATTCTTACACTTCAGTACTGCTTTTATTACAGAAATATCTAAAAATGCATACGCCTTCCCCTATCCTGAAACACAATTTGAATAAACTCCAACAGTGATTCCATATAGAAGGGTTGCCATTAAGAAATGCTTACTGAATCTTTATTTTTAACATTTGGCATAAAATAGTTACTAATGAACTTTTGTAAGTAGTTCATTTATTTATAGTAATTTATAACAATAAATCTGTTATTTATAATACTCAAGTATTTATTATATAATTATAATATATAATAAATATATTATTTATATAATTATAATATATAATAAATATATTATTTATATAATTATAATATATAATAAATATATTATTTATATAATTATAATATATAATAAATATATTATTTATATTTATAACATACTTGTTATTAATAAATATTTCATTATTAAAATATATTTTAAAATAAGGCCAATATAATATTATAAAATGCTTAAAGCATCATTTCAGCATTCATCATATTATTTATTTTATATAAGTATTACAAGCTTTTTTAAAAGCTTTTTTTCAAAAGTACATAATAAAAATCTATATTTTTCACAGTTTAAGAGATATAAAGGCTTTTATGTCTTTGGAAGTATTTATTAAAAATTACATCTTAAATACTCTACAGTGGAAAGTAAGTTAGCCTATAATCCTGATAGGGGTCAGAGTAATAACACAGAATGGACAAATTACACTGTCATTCTACTTAAATTATTTAAGTTATTTAATTTGACCTGTAGATAGTCTCTTGTCTTCTCATCATGCCTGACTTTTAAGTGGGAGGTCTTCATTCATGATGATCCTTTAATGGAAGCAAAGCTTTCTCCATTTAACCCATGCTGTTATCAATCATGTACAGGGATAAATGAGCCTGTAAGATTTTGCCAGTATCACAAATGACACTTTGACCTGAGGCCAACATCTTTATTTGCTTCTCCAGTGATTCACTTCAGCAGATATTAACCAATTTTATAATCCATGAAAGGCAAAATTAAAGGACACCATCCATAAAACAGAATAATTCCTATCAGCAACAAAGTGATGTGTATTATCTTATAAATTATATGGCCATACAGTGTGGTAATGTAATGAAGTAAAGATGGTAATAACCAAATGCCTAGGGCAAACGCTAATATGCATTTAATCACACA